>NT_167251.2:1624639-1821992 GCF_000001405.40 Homo sapiens
ATCAGGCTAGTCTCGAACTCATGAGCTCAGGTGATCCATCCGCCTTGACCTCCCAAAGTGCTGAGATTACAGGCATGAGCCACCATGCCCAACCATTTTTTTTTTGTATTTTTAGTAGAGATGGGGTTTTGCCATGTTGGCCAGGCTGGTCCTGACCTCAAGTGATCCTCCCACCTCGGCCTCCCAAAGTGCTGGGATTACAGGTGTGAGCCATCACGCCTGGCCAAATGAGGAATTTAAGATCTAAAGAAGGTAAATGGTATGCCCATGGCTACACAGCTAAGGGACATAGTTGAGATAAGAATTAATTAAACACATATTTGATAGTACCTAGTGCCTAGTACCAGTCACTGTTTTAGACACTGCAGATCGGCAGTGAACAAAATAGATATGATCCCTGCTGTCATAGAACTTACTTTCTAGTTGAAGAAAACAGAAAATAAGACAGGAATACCATGTACAGTTAGGTCTCTGATGAAAGTAGATCAGGACAATTCACCAGAGAGCTATTGCGGTGCTGTTGTGTATTGGATGACCAAAATTGTGCTCAGATTGCCTAGCTAAACTTGATGGTTTTTACCTTTGCTTTTAGTTTTAGTATCCTAATAGAAAATGTTTAGGAGAATGTTTAATAGAAAATGCTTTGGTATTTATAATAATTTAAAACTCAGTAGCATGTAGAAGTCAGTAAATCCATGAAAGAGAATCTTTCGTAATTCAGAGAAGAAGTAAATATCTTACTCCAGATCACTGTCCTTACTGTTTCTTCTCATTTGTGGTATCTCGTAGTAGCAGAATGGACAGACAGCCCAACCTGTAATATTTACCATTATACCCCAGCACATAGAAGAAGACCAAACTTTTAGAAGGGACTCAGCAAAGATTTGGTGAATGAGTAATTGAGCATTCAGAAGCTGTCTCTGCACTTGTAGGGCAAGCATTTTGTACTAGTGATAGAAAAGCAGGAATTGTAGAGTCACAGACCCAGGGTTGACTTCTGGCGCTCTCATTTACTGTGACTTTGAGCCTTGTTGCATAGCCTGTTTCTGCATCTCAGCTTCCTCACTAGTAAAATGGAGTCGTAGTTTCTGCTTCCAAGAGTGTTTGTGAATATTATATAACTGGCTGTAGTGTTTGAATAAAATACTAAGAAACTTTATTCTTTGTTAGAAATAGTAAATGTGGTACTCTTGAATTACTTTAGGTGGCACTCTGACATTTAAATTAGATATTTTTTATCCATGTGGAAGAAATTTTAAACATGAGTTTTGCAGTCATTTTGTAAACACTGATCGTAAGTGCTAATTCCCTTTTCTTCATTGGCTATGAGTAGTTTGTTTGAGGAGCAGATTGGAGAGGAGTATATAAGATAAACTGGTTTTCTGCATTTGAAAAACATTGGTGATGATCTGAGGATCAAACCATTATATTATGAAGTGATTTTTCTCCCCTTACCTCTTTTCTACATAGCTTGTCTTTAGCTTCAATGAAAAGCTTTTTGGCTTACTGGTGAAGGACATTGAAGCCATGGATCCTAGCATCCTGAAGGGAGAGCCTGCGACAGGGAAAAGGCAGAAGGTAGCTTTTATTTCTGATCATCTTTACTAGATCATCTTTATAATGTAATTTGTGCAGATTGATTATAATTTTCCTATCTGTTGCTTAGTGATTTTTTTCATATTGTGTACCCTTTTAAGATAGTAGGGAGAAAAAATTGCTTTCGTAGCCATCATTGTTATTAAAATATAGCTTAAAATGTATTTATTTGCAGACCTAATATTAATGTAAAATGTAGACATATATGTACATATAATTTGCTTGAATGCAGATATTTATTGTAAATAAATAATAAGAAACGCATTATTGGAAAGATATAGGCATGGAAATAAGGCATGTAAGAATTGTAGAAGAAAGTTATGAGAAAAGTAAAAGTAGCTCAGATGATAGTCTGGAAGGTTTGCTTTGCCCAGAGAGACCTCATTTCCCCCTCACTTTTGGCCTTGCTTTGAGAAGTCCAGAAGTTTGCTATTAGACTACTAATTATTGTCTTTCTCTACAGATTGAAGTAGGACTGGTTGTTGGAAACAGTCAAGTTGCATTTGAAAAAGCAGAAAATTCGTCACTTAATCTTATTGGTAAGATTTACAGTTTTTAGAAGATTTGAAATGAAGTGGGCCTATTTCTATATGTAACTCAACTACAGTGATTTCCAAATGGGGAAAGGAAAGAGGGGCATCTCTCTTGAGAGAGTTTATCACAGAAGCATGGGGTATTTCCTGTTGGTCAGTTTGCTGATGAAAACGTTTAAAACCTTCATCTGGATCAACTTTGTCCAATAGAAATAGAGTGTGAGCCACATGTGTAATTTTTAATTTCCTAGAAATTGCACTAAAATAAGAAACAAATTAATTTTTTAACTTTTAATTTTGAGATAATTTTAGGTTCACAGATTTGCAGAAATAGCTCAGAGAATTTCTGTATGCCCTTTACCAGCTTACCCTGATGTTAATGTCTTATTTGACATTTTCAAAAGTACAATGATAAGAAATGAACATGGTTTCATTTCTGCTAACTAAACTACAGATTTTATTGAGATTTCACCAGTTTTTCCATTGTGTCCTTTTCTGTTCCAAGATCTAATTTAGGATCCCATATTGCATTTAGTTGTTCTGTCTTTTGAGTTTTCTTCAGTCACTGACAGTTCCTCAGACTTTGTCTTTTATGACTTTGAGAACTGGTCAGTTATTTTGTAGAATGCCCCTCACTTGGTTTTGTGTTAAATGAGACAGCATCATCATTTCTTTTAGTGATTAAGTGATGAATGTGCAGGTCAAGTCTTCCCAGCAGATTCATGGTTCAGTCCTACTCTTGTACTCTAGCACAATTTTTGTCATATTAAAACAATTGCAGCTTATTCTCTGAGAATAGTAACTCACCAGAATAATGTGACATTAACTGGGCATTAATTCTTATTTTTGGTTGATTTAACTATGTTGATGTCTACCCTACTAGAGAGTAGAGGGTTTTCATTGGTTGCACATCATCATGTCCAGGGTCACTTAACAGTCTTTGAGTGCGTGGCCTTTATTTCCTGGTCCACAAATTACCATTCCCCCTTATTGTTTTTTGTTAATTATAAAATATTTTATTTATAAAATATGGATAGGCATTCGAAAACAATTCACACACTGTAAAATTTGGTTCTGTTTTCATAGTTTTGTAATTTGCTTTTTTTGCTTAGCATGTTTCAAACATCTTAAATATACACCTATAACATGATTTTTAATGCCTGTATGTCATTTTATGAAGGTAGGATGTATTTTCCTGTTATTGATCTAGTACATTTATGAAGTGATTTCTTTGTATTTTATTTTTGTGTACCTTTTGTTAAGATATCCCAAGGGAGTTGCATAACTTTCATAGGTATTTCTAAGTAATCCATGGGAAAAAAATTGTGTAGTTAATTGGCATTCAGTAAATTTTGCCCACAAGAGGGCAGTAGAGTGTAAGAAAAAAATATTTTTCATCGCTTTCCAAAGGAAATCTTAAGGCCTCAAAACTCTAACCATAAAATTATCATCTAGTATAAACTTTTAAAAAGCGTTACTTTATTTTTAATTGACAGATAATAATTGTATATATTTATAGGGTACAATTTGATATTTTAATACATGTATACATTGTAGAATGATCAAATCAGGCTAATTAACATATCACCTCAAATATTTAGCATTTCTTAGGATAAACTTTTTTTAATGTGACATTTTCTTCCCTGGTTTTATAAAAACCATATTATTACTTTATTTTTTGTTTATAATAGAGCATACTAAGGTACTTAATTTATTCTTTGTTTGAAATAGTAAATGTGGTTCTCTTGAGTTACTTTAGGTGGCACTCTGACATTTAAGTTAGATAATTTTTGTCCTCTTGAGAATTTTTAAACATGAGTTTTGTAATCATTGAAGTCTTTAGGATGATTTCAGACTTTTGTGTCCAAGTGAAGAGAAAGCAAAGAAGACATCAAACTTGTTCAGTATATTTCCTTAGGCTGAGGGGTTATATGCCCAATTACCTGTATAAGCTTAATCTGGATAAATATATGTATTTTAAAATAAACTTGCGTTAGGAGACTTCAGTGACTGCGAGATTTCAGTTGCATTTCTGCCAGCTAGTGTTGTCTTCATCAGATATGGCATTTCTTCTGATCAACCGAGTTAGTTAATTTAGTTAGATTGAAGGTTAATAAAACTAAGTTTTATGGACTGATACAAATAGACTACAGCATAAGTTTAGCTAGTCATTTTGACAGTGTGTTACCATATATGGAGATCAGACAAAGTAGATAGCATAGCAAAACTTACCCTTCTGACTGTAAAATCAGCTAAGATTATATTGTTCGTTTTGTATATGTAAGGGTAGCTTTTCTTTATTCATTTAGGATGCTCAGGGAGTTCTGTCTGTCTTTTTAGACTTAGTGATAAAGTCCTTGTTTCACATTTGATAATATTCGTTTGACATAGGCAAAGCTAAAACCAAGGAAAATCGCCAATCAATTATCAATCCTGACTGGAACTTTGAAAAAATGGGAATAGGAGGTCTAGACAAGGAATTTTCAGATATTTTCCGACGAGCATTTGCTTCCCGAGTATTTCCTCCAGAGATTGTGGAGCAGATGGGTAAGTTTAAAAAGGAAAATGTTATAAAATCTTGTGTTGTTAAAAAAATTAATGCAATGAAGAATCTCTTTTCAATAGTTTTGAAATTATTTTTCAGACCCATTATTTTTGTCTTTTTCTTTAAAAATGAACAGATAAATTTTCTGAAAAACTTTATAATACCAGAACTTTTAAAATTACATTTTAATTTTATGGGGAAATCATAGAAATAAGACTTGTGGTGGCTCCATTTTGTTTATTTATTTATTGAAGAATGCTTTTCTATGGGGCATATTTAGAAACTTCCCCTGACAGTAATAATACTAGTAGTGACTCCATTTTATTTATTTATTTGCGTAAGAATGTTTTTCTATAGGGCATATTTAGAAAGTTCACCTGACTCTAAAGATCACTATGGGTCAGATGTACCCTGCTGAATAATAACTATCTATTAGGCTGTGTGCATTGTTCTGACATTAGCTGCCGTTCCTTTTTATTGTACTGTTGCATTACCCAGTTAGTACATCTTCATACCTAATAAATGGGTACTTGCATATTTTTAAATTAAATAAGTTTGATCCAAAAAGACAAATGCAGGATATACATTGGAGTTTCTATATTGCATACAAAGAAGTGCACTATTCGTTTACCACTTTCTTCTTGAAGGTTTATTTAATTTATCTGTGTGAAGTGACTTTATTTGCCCAGTGGAAATGCTGTCATGACTGTTTTCATGTCCATATCATTCGTTGGATTGGAATGTGAGCAACAGAATATCTGAGAAAGGAATGTATAACATAACAGCTTCTGGCAGACTATTAGTGTAAAAACAGCATCCAAAAAAAAAATGGAAGGAATATGAATATATTACTCCGCTCATCCCCATCATTCTTTATCTTTAAATTGCTACTGGAAGATAAAAGTATATTTATTATAGTGGGGATAAGAACTGCTTTCTAGGCACTAAGTGCTTGGATTGTATTAGCCTTCTATTGTTGGTAGCCTTTCTGCCTGGTCGCTCACTCTGATAAATTACAGGCACGGCACACACCTGTTCACTGAGTAAAGGTCGAGTTTGGAATTGGATTAAGAGAAAATGACAGAGACCCTCATCACCTGAGTTTTATACACCTTGAAATGGCAATAGCATACTTTTTATCTCAAAGATACAAAGGCCACGTCCATTAAAAGCAGAATTTTAATTGGGAAAATATTTTAAAATGTGGTAGTTCACTATCTTGGTAATGTGTATTTTCGATCAAGACATGAAAATATTGTTTAAGTGTATTTTGGGTAAAAGCAGGGATAAAAAGATGATTCCAAATGTTCTAAGTTATTCTTGTGGAATGTTTTTACTGGTTTTCAGAACTGAGATCTAGTGCAGGAAGAGTCTAATGATTCTGTTTCTTAGAACATTTATACTGTTTAGCCAAAAAGTAGAAAAATAACTGCATTGGTAGTAAGCCGTCTCTTTTAATTATAAATGTTTTCTCACTGTTTGGAAGCTATTGAAGATAACAGTTATTCAGATACTAGTTTGCTATTTGTGCATTATCTAGATCCTGCACTTGAAGCTACGCGCAACGTCAGTATGCGTTGGGTAGATAATGCGTAAAGGAGTTGGTCTCACATTGGTCAGTTTGTGACCTTGCCAGCTGTTGGAGAGTTTTAAATTAAATCAGAACAGATTTGGAATTTGTTAGTGAATTTCATCTGTTTCTGATATCCGTATTGAAATGAGCTGAATTACAGTAGTGTGCTTTTTGTTGTTTTTGATGTGTTTTTTGACTAAACACTATGGATTTGAATTTTGTGAGTGCCACTGTCCAGAACCTTTTTTATGGATTTATTTTTCTAATATTTTTACACTAATTTAATTAGACAAAAAATGAATTCTATCCTTTTGGAAAAGTTTTTTTTTTTTTTCTCTTTATGGCTTTTTGCCATCAGGAAGCATTTGTTACCAATTTCATTGAAAAGACAAACTAGTATAAAGCTGTCCTGGCTTTTGAGCTGAATTGAAAAACTTATTTTCTTTATTCTGGATGAAGTTTCTGGGTATCTAAAAAAAAGTAAAGCTTCTTCTTTTTTTTTTAATGGTTAAATGGCTGAGAAATAATTCTTTTGTAATGCATGTATAATTCCCTGTCTTCCAATAGAGGCTTCTTTTTTCCTTTGAATTTTGGGGGAATTATATAGTAAAATCCTTTCTTGCACTCCAATTACAGTGTGGTTATAAAGTTCTCCTTAGGCTTTGGTAAAGGTATATAAATAAAAATGGTTATATTTTGACAGAATATAAATAAAATTATACAAATTATTTTTATGCATATTCTGTGTTGTTTTTTTTTTTTGACATGTCAGGTGGGAACAACATGGATTTTTTTCCCCCACTCTTTGTTAACTAAATAGACAGATCTATATGGTTTGGGGATTCAGCTGGACACTGAGTATGACTGGTTAAATCAGTTCTAATTTTTAAAAAAGATTAGAAAAGAATAATTTATGTAGGTTATGGGGCTTTTTTGTTTTAAGCAGAAAACTTTACTTTTGGCTTGAGACCAAATTACTGTCTTTACCATGGAGTCTAAAGTGATGTCTACTTCGTAAACAGGAATCTTAACTAAGTGGATTTTTTGCCTATATATCAATTTTCAAATTTACAAAGTGATAAATTTAGAATATTCTTCTCTTCTGTCATTATGTTCATCAGACTGATAATTATGCTTCTAGGTAACAGAGTTCTTTCTTTTTGTCTATAAAACTTCATGTTGCCTTTTCAAAATTGAAAAATATAGTTTAGCTACGAACAGAATGTTGCTGATGAGATATAGGAGGACTAAAGGACTTAATGAGAGGCACACAATTAAGCAGTAAAATTAGGGAACCAATGAGGTAATATACTTGAAAATAACTGTCATGGAGTTTCCAATCTGTTAGTTTCTCTCTTGAAGGTCTTTCAAATAGGTAGTGTATACCTTAGGCCGGGTGCGGTGGCTCACTCCTGTAATCCCAGCACTTAGGGAAGCCGAGGTGGGCGGATCATGAGGTCAGGAGATCGAGACCATCCTGGCTAACACGGTGAAACCCTGTCTCTACTAAGAACAGAAAAAATTAGCCGGGCGTGGTCGCGGGCGCTTGTAGTCCCGGCTCCTCGGGAGGCTGAGGCAGGAGGATGTGTGAACCCGGGAGGCGGAGCTTGCAGTGAGCCGAGATCGCACCACTGCACTCCAGCCTGGGCGACAGAGCGAGACTCCATCTCAAAAAAAAAAAAAAAAAAAAAAAAAAAAGAAGAAGATAATGTATGCCTTTCTGCTTTTGTACTTTTGTTATATTTTTGTAGAATTAAAATCAAGGAAACCCTTAAAGGAGAAAGGAAGTCACATAAAGCTCTCTAGACTGAGGGATAAAGGAAAAGGGATTATTTAGGGGAATATCAATTTAGACTTTTGTTTTTGTTATTGTTTTAATCAGAGTAACTGTTGAGTTTTCCCCTTGTCTGAAGCAGTTGAGCTCACCCAAACCCAAGTGGGGCAGCCCTTCCTTGGAAGGATATGAGAGCAACGAGCGAAGAAAACTAAACCTATACCTTGCACTTAGTAAATACCAAATAGATATTTAGTTAGAATGCCTTCCAACCCCCCACAAAACAGATTTTTAATTAAGAATTACCTTAAATCCATAATTTTATGGGCTAATAGAAGCCACATTTGAGTCCCAGGGTAGAAATGTGAACATCAAAGCTGGTATCTGGAAGTATGGGTGAATAAATTCAACAGCTGATTGCTGTCTTTCAGCATATTCAGGTGTTAACTGAATAGATACTGAATACTTGTGTTCGGACATTTACCACACTTATTCCCCTGTATGCAGTTTTGTGGACAGTGTTCAGGATAAATAAATGATTGATTACCTCAGTTCTCACTGTAGCTATTTTGTTAGCAAAGATAGCGTTTCTGCCAAGAAACTTCATTTTTTCAGCATCCCTGGCAATTCTCTCTAAATTATAAATGTCAAAGCAAAAAAACACATCGTTTTCAATGAACAGTGGAATAATTGTTAAAGAATTAGTCAGCGTCTCTTAATGTAATCCTGGGAATAGGTTCACATCTACCCAAGGAAAGATCTAGAAGGAAAAGGATGTAAAGAGGGAAGACCTCAGCCTCACACTGTCTTTCAGTGGATCTGTGGGGTGTAGATGTTCAGGCCACCTAGTGGGGAGGAAAGCCACTTGTTATGGTCTTGTGCCCCCATTCTTTGAAACTGACACTGTGTTCTTTTTGGTCTCCTTTCCCCAGTGTCTCCCTCTGTAAGCCCATTTTCAATCGTATTTTTAAGGTTTCTTTTGAAATTCAAGAGGAAAGCAACTCTTTTCTGATATCATAAGTGAAATTGTAGTTACTCTATGAAACAGAACTGCTGAGAAGATAAGGAACCTTTCAATCACACAGACATCTTTCACATACTAAAAACAGTGCAAATAAAACATAGTGGAAGAAAGGGCACTAAGGTTTTGTGCATGCCATATTTTGGAGAGAGGGAGTTCTTGCTAAGATTAACATAAACACTGACACTCTTAAAATGCATTTTCACACCCCCACTCATGAGGAGAGATTGCATTTTAAATGGGGGTTAAGACATCCAGGCGAACTCCAGGGCTCTGTAAAAGGAACCCTAAGGCTAAAGAGCTTATCTGAAATTTGAAAAAAAGAAAAAAAAATGAAGCCTTCTGACATTCATCTTTTTTTCTTGTATTAGTCATAACTTGCTTTTCAGCTATATTTTAGGTTTTGAATGCCAACCTGACATCTGTTCAAGTCTGCCTGTAATTTATTAGCAGAGGAAAAGACAGCAGTTGCTCACTAGTTAGAGATGCAAAATTTCTGCCTTCCTGTTCTCCACTAAGTACTTATAGATGATACCTGGATACGAAGAATGTAATAATTTACTGAAAACTTCAGGTCAGGAAATTTATAAAGATTTTTTTTTAATTAGAAGAATAAAATGGCTTAAGACCATGTGATTTCAAAAATCTCTAGATCAGGATTTAGAGACAAAACATAGACCCTAAAAAATACTTTAGATAACTTTCTATAAATTGTAATTTTTTTAACCTTGAATTAATTTTTCCATTGGTTTTAAATTTTTAAGTTAAATGTATATTTGAACAGTAGTTGTGCTTATATCTGAAAGTCAAACTGTATGTAAATTCACCTGGCATTTTGCATTTATAGACAGACTTTAAGAAACAAATCTTTTGGAGAGGTAGTGCTGTCTACAGAGTCACCAAATGGATTAGATTTCCTGGCAACTACAGTTGAGTTACTTACAGATCAACAGTTGGGTCACTACAAAGTTGAGATCTAAGTGTTAACCTGAGTGCCCACCAGTAAGAAACCGGTTAGAGGCAATCTTAAAATGATATAGCTCCAAATGTAGAGACATGTTTGTGTTAATAAAAAATATATAAAAGCAAATGCATTCTAAAAATCTCTAAGGACATACATTAAATTGAAAAAAGGTTTATGGCTGAATGTGGTGGCTCACACCTGTAATCCTAGCACTTTGGGAGGCTGAGATGGGAGGATCACTTGAGCTCAGGAGTTCAAGACCAGTCTGGGCAGCATAGTGAGACCTTGTCTCATTTATTTATTTTTTTAATTTAAAAATTTAATTTAAAAATTAAAAAAAGTGTTTACTTCCATGGAAGGGAAGCTAAGATGGGGAATAAAGGGAAAGTTTTGTTCTTTTACTCAATTTTACCTTTATGTCTGAATGTTTTATTGTATTTCTAATGTGTGATTTTAAAAGCCAACAGACAAAAGATAATATCACAGTATGTTTCTTGGGGTGACTCTACCATCAGCATGGAAAGTCAGCAGGAAACAGGTACATCCTTCCGCCTTCATGAAGTTTTCTGTGGAGGAGGAGAGTGCAGGGTAAAAGGCCTGGATTCCAAGGGCTTTGCTGGCAGCCCCTTAGAGGGTAGACAGAACACCTATCCTATTTGGTCAAGAAGAGAAAAAGTTTCTCCATATATAACAAACTGCTTTCCCCCAGAATGTTCTGCATTATAGTAATGGTGTAAGTAGTCTGCCCTTCAAACATGAGAACATTTGCATCCAGGCCTTTAGGCAGCCAAGGCAGCATTAAAGAAGAAAGAGTGGGAGCAGAGCGAGCTGAGGGAGAGCAGAGCTTCTGACATTTGAGGAACTGGGCGTGAATTTGTTTTTAGTCTTCAAAAACCATTCTCTTGAGGAATCGAATTCCCATGACTCCTGAAGTGAAGCGGTTGGTGTTTTCTCCTGCGTTACTCCCATACGTAAGTTGGTGATTATAATGAGGGTGGTGGCTAATACTTATATAATGCCAGACGCTGTTCTGTGTGCTTTATTATTGTGTTTATTAATCCTCACAACAACCTTCAGAAGTAGACACTGTATTGTCTCCATATTATGGAGCAGGAATCTCTGTCTCAAAAAGGTGAAGTAATGGGTCCAAGACACACAGCTAGTAAGTAGTAGAGTCAGATTTGAACCCAGGCAGTCGAGCCCCAGATTTCATTTCCTTAACCATTACATGTTATTCTCCCATGAAAGCCCATCGTGTAAAACCATTTTAATGGGCTTTCTAGCTTCACTTTTTTGGGGACCTTTGAAGCAATCATTGAGGCAGCCTTTGTTCTAGCCAAGGGCCAACCATGGCACCATTGAGATTTTGAGCTGTATAATTATTTGGTCTGGGGACTGGGTGTCCTTTGCATTGTAAATAACTAACTTTTCTAGTAATCTGATGTGTTCAAATTGTCATGAGCTCAAGAGACATGAAGATTTGGTGGTAGGCTGTAATACCTAATGCCACTTTTTTCATGTGTTTTTTGTCACGTGTTGTAGCAGAATACAGGAAGGAAGGAACTGGAATGGGTGTGTCAGAGAAGCTGTCTTAAACTGTCAACCTGGAGAGGGAACATAAATGTTAAAATTAAATAATCATTAAAAAATTAAGCAACGTAACAAGTGATATCAAAGGCCAGTATTTGATTAAGTGCCAGATGAGCAGTACAATTGATAAGCCCTACAGGAACTGAAAGGGAATCACATCGAGAAGACTTCATAGAAGAGGCAGAGCTTGAGTAAGGCCTTAAATGCTGAGCGGTTTTGGATAGCAGGAGGGAAGGGGATAGTTGTCCATATCCTGGGAAGAGTGACAGACTAAACACGGTATAGACTTCATGACTTAGACCAGTCTAACAGAGCTGTTGTTTGGAAGAAACAGGAAATAGGATTAAAAAGTTAGTTTTGGGTTGGGTTGTGGAAATCTGTGAGGAGATGTGGACTCTTTTTAAAGTACTGTCCCTGTTTAAGCTTCCAGACAGACTCAGAACCTTCCAGACAGACTCAGGTGCTTCTCCTGTGTTTCCCTGCACCTTGTATATACTTAGAATCCAGCTGTGTTCTTAATGTAATTATTCATTTGCATTACACTCCTAAGGCAGAATTTCTTAACCTTGGCACTATTGACATTTTAGGCTGGATAATTCTTAGTTGTAGGGTGCCTGACCTGTGCATCATAGGATGTTAAGCGCCATCCCTGGCCTCTACTTGATGTCAGTACTTCCCTTCCTCACCACTCCGAGCCCCAGTGACGATTAAAAGAAATGTGATGAAACTGTCCTGTGTTGAGAACCATTGCTCAAAGGCCTTTGAAGGCACAACTGTAATGTCTTCTTATCCATGTATTATCAACATCAGGGGTGTTGGGATGTAGGTTGCAGGTCATTGTTGGACCATGAACCACTGTTACCAGTCCACAATAAGACAAATATTGGAAATTAAGAATAAGTAATTACAAATGTTTATAGCAATTTGACATTATCACAATTTTTTTAAAATTATATTTTACAAAAATGTTGGTCTGCAATGGATTGGAAATTTAAAAGGAAAAAAAATACAGCTGGACCTTAGCATACATAGTTTGAGAAGCACTGGCCTATGTAAATATTTGCAAAATGAATGAAATTTTTTGAACAGATGCCTTAGAGAAAAGGTGAGGAGAATAGTCTTAGAGACCAGTAGACTATTGCTGTCCAGTGTGTGGTACTTAGAATCTGGATTGGGGTGAAGGCAACAGGAATGGAATGGGAAGAAAATACATGAAAAAATTGCAGACATGAAACTGGCAGAATTTGGCAATAGTTATTGTGGGTGACAGAATTGGAGGTGAGACTCAGGTCTTGTGAGAAAATGTTGGAAATGAGAAACTCAGGAGAACATAGTTTTGGAAAAGTAGAGAATATCATTGCACATATTTTCAATATCGTGAAAGGAAACTGGAAGCTGAACTGAAGAGAGGAAGAATTACTGGCATTTCAATTTATTGAAGCCTAGCTTCAATCAGTCTGCACGTGTTTAGGAAACACACTGTTGACTACTTTTGCTTGAAATACCCTCTTTACTTGGCTTTTCTCACTCCAAGCATTTCTGGTTTTCCTTTTACCTCTCTGGCTGTCTCTTTTCAACCTCTTTTGTGTCCCTTAAAATGTTGGGGTTCCTCAGGAGTCTGTCTTTGACCTATTATTTTTCTCTAATTATTCTCCTCCAAATTAATCACATCTGTTTCATAGCTTCAATTAGTATCTTTATGCTGCTAACTCTCAAATATGCATATGCCACCTCGGTCTCAGTTTAGAACTCTGGATTTGTACCAGCATAATGTGTTGGGTATTTCATGATCACATAGTAAGCTTGAAATTAAACACATTCAGTTGCCCCCTCAGTCCTCTCTAAACATGCATCTATATCTGTGTTTTCTATCTCTGGCAATACTCTAGCCAAAAATCTGGACACCTTTAACTCCTCTCTTTCCCTCACCTCCCACTTCCAGTAAGTCGCAGAATAGACCGTCAATTCTGCAATCTCCGCAATCTCTCTGAAATCCCTCCAGTTCTCTCTACCTCGCCCTGCCACTCTTCCTTCAGGACACCATTATCTCTTGCCTGAATTGCTCCATAAGCCCTCAGCCTTGCCCTTCTCTAATCCATTCTCCACACTGTAACTGGAGTGATTTTTATAAAAAGGCAAGTCTGATCCTGTCACTGCACTGGTTCAAACTCTTTAGCAGCCCGCCTTAACTCCTTACATGGTTTACAAGCCCTGTGTGATCTGGCTCCTGCTAAACTTTCTTGCTTCGCCTCTCAGCCCGTGCCCCTCCCCCATACTCTGGGTTCCAGCCAGCCTGTGCTATTTTCAGTTCCTCTAATTTGCCATGCTACTTTCTCTTACCTCTATATCCTAGGGTTATTTTTTTTTGCTTTTTTTTTTTCTTAACCATCTTTTCATCCAATTCCTGTTCACTCTTCAGGCCAAAGCTTTGAACTCACTGTTTCTAGAATGAGTAGGCTTTAATGTTCCTCATGTGTGTTCTAATAGCTCCATGTTATTTTATGCATTATTACATTGTATTATAATTGCTTATTACATGTCTGTATTCCAAGTCCTCTCTCCATGTCCCTGCCCTCACAAACATAGTATACCTTCAGTAAGGAATAGGCCTTGTTTATTTTGGTCACTGTCGTATTCTCTCCTCCCGGCATGGTGTCTGGCTTATAAGTTTTCAGGAAATAAATAAATGCCAGGAACTTGATTAATCTTGATTAATTAAATAGAACACTTAGACAGTTTGATCCAAGCCCTGCCCTCATGATACTTACAGTCTGTGTGGGAGTAACACTGTATTTGCACATCCCAAAGCAGTACTGTGTAAAACATAAGGTGCATTGTGAACCAGATTAGCAAAGTAGGCCACATGGAGAAGCAGCAGATGCATTTAAAGAGCAAGACTGAGCCATATCTTTAAAAGTCAAAGCAGATATGATGTTTATAATTCATTACTAAATCCATGTAGATCCTCTTAGATTCTGAATTTAGGAAAGACCTCTTGGATTGGTCCTGAATGGCACTAGGCTCCAGAAATAAGAAAAGGAAGAGTATTTTCTTGGGTACTTGTGAGCTACCATTTGCTTCATTGGGAACTGCCATTCTTATGTAAGGGCACTATAACAAGAGTGTTCACATTTAAGGGCATCAGGTCAATATTGCGTCTGTGTGAGTTTGTGTGATGTGAATGCACACATGTATTTTCTATTTTTAAATAGAAACACATTATAAAAATAATGCATCCTCATAAAACAGCACAGATAGAGTAAAAAGTGAAATCTCCCTTCATTCTACCCACTCCAGTTTTACTCCCTCTCTTAGAGGTAGACACTGTAAAGAGATTGGTATGAATTTTTCAAACCCTTTCCTAAGTATTTATACAATAATATATAATCAATCCATTCATTCATTTATTGAGACAGGGTCTTGCTCTGTTGCCCAGGCTGGAGTGCAGTGGTGCAATCATACTCCGTTGCAGCCTCGCACTCCTGGGCTCAAGTAGTCCTCCCACCTCCACCTGCCAAGTAGCTGGGACTACACCCAGCTAATTTGTGTGTGTGTGTGTGTGTGTGTGTGTGTGTGTGTGTGTTTGTGTAGAATTGGAGTCTCACTATGTTGCTCAGGCTGGTCTCAGACTCCTGGCCTCAAGCAGTCCTCCCGCCTCAGCCTCCCAAAATGCTGGGATAACAGGCATCAGCCACTGTGCCTGACTTTTTTTTTTTTTTCAACCTAGTAGTGTATCTTGGGTTTTTTTCTGTGATAAAGCACACAGATAACATTTTATTTTTTAAAAAGTTAAATAGTATTAGCAGATCTGCATCCACACAAGTCCCGTCATGGTAAGTTAGCGTCTCTTCCTCAGCAGTAAGAAGGCTCCTAGGCACACACCAGAACAAGGTTGGCATTGCGTCTCCTTTCTACTCACTTGTATGGCCCTAGGCTTCTCAATGCGGCAGGGCCCTGGGCGCTCAGCTACTTGAGCCTTGGTACCCTTGCCTGAAAAATTGTTTATTGGTAGGTAACATTAATGTGTGTAAGTTTTCTAACACAGTACCTGGCTGACTGTCAAACACTCCATGGATGATAGTTACTTGGTATGATTATATTGCCAAGAGGCACTTTTGGAGCTCTGTAAAAGGCAAAAATTTATAACCCAATCCCTTTAATCTAATGTTAAGATGTGTTTTCTTCTTATCTTAAATTTTGTTGCTGTTGAAAATAGTTAACACCTGAGATTTTCCTCCTATGCTGTTTTATAATTACCCATTTTGAACAGTGTTTGTTGATAAGGTAGTCAAGGGGACACTTCGAAATATTTTTTCTTTATTTGTGAAGTCATACTTTGGCTGATTTATATTTAATTTTTATCACATTACATCGGAGAGGAGCAGATAAATTTTCTATCACCTCTATAAATTTTCTATCACATATAAGAAAGTGTATCTTATATGTGATACACTAACTTGGAAAAACAACAGCTATCTTGATAGACACAATAGAGAATAGGATGTCAGAGGAAGAGAAGAATTAGAATGTTAACAATAATGCTAGTAAAAAGCTACCCAGGACTTAAATGGTATTATTTGAGAGTACTTCTACCATGATTCAAATAAGACTTGCCTTGGAATTCCATATGATTTGTTACTTAGAGCAGTCTACCTTTAATATGTTTAATATGGTCATACTTTAAAAAAAAAAACCTGCAAGAAACTTGGGTTTCACGTTTTTGCTTTTTAAAGAATTAACATAATGTTATTTCAGGTTTGTAAAGGAAGTTACAGAAGATAGCAATAAATCCCTTCCATATATCATTTTAGTCATAGTGCAAAATTAGGCATTGAAAATTATTATGGGTACTGTATTAGATATTCAAAGATTTATTTGTGGCTTTGACTTCTTTACCAACACCTCTGGCTTTAATACAGTATCTTTTATCAGAGCAAGTAATAGTTTGAATCCTTTTCTTACAAATCCTCTTTTTACTCAAGTGACTGCAAACTTATAAAGATGCACACATCTGTAGCTTGAACGTCTATGCTATTTGCTCAAGTATTTACTTGAATTTATCCTCGATGATATGATTTTTTTAAGTGCTTTGATTTTAAATTCTATCTAGAATCCCATCATGAGGGAGAAATCTTAGCAAGACTTAAGCACCTTTTCATAATGACTGGTTACTGTAGGATAAACCTATAATTAGTATATTGCTAATCCACACGTTAGATATATCCCATCAAATTTCAAATATACACAGGAGAATTATTCACATTGAAGGTTATTAGTGCATTCCAGGGACATTTCCATGTTGATTCACAACTACCCCTTTACCTTACACTTTCCTGTGTTACTAGACGTCTCTTTCTGTAAAACTTCTCTTTGTTGTTACTTTTTACTTTTGTATGTGTTACCTGATTACTTTGGCTTCCTCTGTGACTACTGAGGGAGCCAATTGTGGCTGTGATGAGCTTAGAGAAAGGGAGATGGGGAAGACTCGCTTAAATGAGTTACAAATTCTCTGTAGTCTGATCTTTATCTGGCTATTGCAGTATGACCATGGGTGATACTAAATGAAATAGAACTCAACTCTCCAAAATTTGGATTTGTCTTATAAGTCGTAATGGCTCCAGGTGGGATACTGTGTCAGACCAAGGATAGGCAGATGATAGTTTATTGCCACAGTCAAAAGATCGAACCCTTTTTTTTCATGTTATCTAGAAATGAATCTTTAAAAAAAAAAAAAGGAATGGGTTGAACTTATAATATTTTAGCAACTCATAAAATAACTTGAAGAAAAAGATCATTTGGAAGGAGAGACAAAACAGACTGAAAGACATTGTTTAAATTTATGACTTTTATTATCTTACTTGAATGCTATTTTTGCCCCTCTTGCTATTATTAAACCCTTTGCTTCCTGTTTTCAGTTGCTCCTGTCAAGGTATGAATTTTTCTTTGGATGATTGTCATCTATTTCATATTATCTAGTATTCCTCTCTATTATGAGAAAATCAAAAGTAGACAGTGTATCTATAGCTATAGATTTAAATGCACTAAGGTAATTATATATTTGAATCAGAGACCTAAGGAATAATCTAGTGTAGCATTTACCAAATTTATTTAAACTTAACATGCTTACATGAAGACAGACCTATTTATGTTTCCAAGGAACACCAGTTTGAGAAATGCTGATCTTACCTGTGTCATTCTTATTTTGTAGATGAGGACATTGGGACCTCAGAAGAATAAGGCAACTTATTTAGGCTAAAGTCACTGCTTGTCTACTGGGGCTGGAATCCAGGTTGCTTAGTCTGGTGCCCTTTAGGCTTCATGATTCAGCCACTTAAGACAATTTGATTTATTGTTGGGCTTTTTAATTCTAGATTTCATAACTTGGATATGAAACTGTACTTCCCAGTCTCCAAAATAAGCTTCACTGTTTTCTGGAACGTGAATTAGATTCAGAAAGCCCCTTACTGCCTTTAGATTATTGCAGCCTCCCCAGTGGGCCCCAGGGATCCAGGAAAAATATCTTTGTTTTTCACCTAGTCCTCTCCTCAGCTTTTAGAGGGACTCTTAGATCTATGTTTATGAAAAGACTTTTATTAGTTCTTATAGTTGTAGTAATGCATGTTTATTGTAGAAAATTTCAAAAATGTAGATGAATAAGAAGAATAAAACAATCACTCAGTGTAAAAAACAAAAAACCCTGAAAAAGTACCATTAATATTCTGGAGTATATCATCCAGCTAGTTTTAGCTGTATATACATAGAGCCAAAAAAAAAAAAAAAGCATTTTGCTGTTTTATAACTGGTTTTCTCCCCACTCAGTAAGTTAACAGTTTTTCTTAAATATTCTCTACAACATTCTTTATTTTGTAGAATGATAATGCTGTGGTTTGTTTAATCAATCCCCTCTAGTTAGAAATTGTATTCAGTTTTTTACTATTATACACTATGTTTAACAAGCACCTTAGAAACTAAATATTTCTACACATTCATATTTCTTTAAGATAAATTCCTGGAAGTAGAATTGCTGAATCAAAAAGGATTCACAATGTTTTTGACATGCACTGCCAAATTTAGACTTCCTTTTTGAAAAGTCAAATGTTAAGGAGATCAAAGCAATCACTAAGCAGGTACTCTGGAAGAGAAATAGAAATATAAAAAATATAATGGTTTCATGAGAAACTAATAGACAAGGTTTCAAGAGACTTGGAGTCTAGTTTTGGATTTGTCATTGAATGGCTGTGACTTTTGGGTCTTAGTTTCCTCATTATAAAAATGGGAAGATAGACTAGAAATAGAAACTTTTTCAGAATAGTCACCTTATGAATGTTGTTTCAGTGAAATATAAAGGTCTGTACATAAGTTCTGCAGGGAAGATGCCATGTATTTGCTCATTCTTCAAGTTTCAGCTTGATTGCCTTTGGAAGGTCTGTCACACTTAACGTCCTCCTAATAGAAGTAATTGTTTTACTTTTTGGCTCCTCATAGCCCTTTTTAAATGTTGGTTCTGTATAGTTGTATCTTTGATTTTTAATATTGAGGTATTTGTAACAGAGGTTATCTTACTCATCTCCTGAAAGCACTTGGCTTAGCATAGTTCTTGGGTATATAATAGAGACTCAGTAAGTATCTGTGGAAGTTGAGAGTGATACCTTGTTCCCCAGTGTATAACAGCAAAGCCTAGCCTCCTCCTGTTGAGCATTGTCTGTTCTCGCTTTGAAGAGCTCACCACATTTCTTCAGTTTGTTTTTGTTTTTATTTTATTTTATTTATTTATTTTTTTTTTTGGCGGGGTGGGGTCTTTCCTATTCAGTAACACAGTGGTTCTCAGTCTTTGGTGTGTATCAGAATTTTTTTTTTTTTTTAGAGTTTTGCTCTGTTACCCAGGCTGGAGTGCAGTCGTGTGATCTCAGCTCACTGCAACCTCTGCCTCCCAGGTTCAAGCGATTCTTGTGCCTCAGCCTCCCGAGTAGTTGGGATTACAGGCACATGCCACCATGCCTGGCTAATTTTTGTATTTTTAGTAGAGACAGGGTTTCATCATGTTAGCCAGGCTGCCCTTGAACTCCTGACCTTAAGCGATCCACCCACCTTTTCTGGTATTACAGGTGTGAGCCACCCTGCCTGGCCCAGAATTTTTAATGTTAAAAAAAATACAGATTTCCAGGCTCTCAAGTACACTGAATGTGAGTGTCAGGCACAAAGCCGAGACACAGCGCTGTCAATAGCTGAGCTCTCCTTGGGGTTTTAGCTTTGTCAGGCAAATTGATATTCAAGTTCCAGGTCTGCCACTTACCAGATGTGTCTTCCCCTTACCAGGGGAAGGTCACTTTACCACTGTAAGCCTCAGTACCTCTTCCTTAAAAAGAGGGTAAAAATAATACCTTAGCTCATAGTTTTAAAAATGATTACGTAAGAGAACATATTAAAACACGTAGTATAGCCCTTCCCATATCTGCAGTTCTGGCCTTGATCTGTAACTTCTTGGATCTTATATGCATTTATTATTTATTTGTTTCTTTTTAAAATAACATTTATATTTTTTCAACTTTTAGAGGTTAATATGTTCATTATAGAAAACTGAAAAACACAAGAGGCATATAACTAAAAAATCATCCATAACAGAATCAGTTTACATTCTGATGTATCTTTCCAGTCCTTGTATGTGTATACATATATACATAACTGAGTATACCTTTTTACATGGTTACACTTATATAGTATGTGCCATGCTTTCTTGCATATCATGAGTACTTGAGTATCAAAATACTCAGGGCTTTAGGATTCAGACATTGGTAAATATTCACGATACATTTTCTTATCTTTTGTGGGGACAAAAATATCTTAAAAAACAAAATGGCAACAGGTCTCTGGAAATGCATATTGGCAGGTTTATAGTTAAATACTGTGTTCACTTAATACCCAATATAAAATGAGATACAAAGCAGTCAAGTAAGTATAATGCTTCTTAGATAGTTCAGTATGAGATCTGCACTATTAAAATATTACCAGAAATGATGTTTCTACTTAATTATTTAACAATTCATATAGTATTCACAAAGTATACCAAAAAAAAAGCACACATATGTCAGTGGTTATAATCAGATTGTAAATATGGACATATCTATATATATCTCTTCCCTTACCTTTCTTTCTGCCCCTTCCTTAGCAATCCAGTACGTACTGATGTATACTGCTCATAGGTGGTTTAACATTGCCATTTCCAAGATGCTTCTTTTCTAATGAAATTAATTTACTATCTAGTTAATTCACTAGCTCTATTTTATACATTGTCACCTCATAACATCTAGAAAGCTTAGTGTTGTGAAGTAAGGACTGATAAACAGAGGCACTTTACTAAAAAATCACTTCCTAGAACTGTGGCTACAATATGAAACTATCTTCTAGATATGAACATACTTGCAAAGAACCTTCCTTTTGCCTTTCTTCTTCCTTCTTCAGCTCAATGAATAAGTACAGAAATGCATATAGCTCTACGAGATGGGTTAACAACAGTCACTCCCAGACAACAAGCCTTGCTAAAAACTCTAACAAGAGGACATTTATCAAAGAATCATTTTACTTCTTAAACTTTCAGCATACTTTGGGCACTTCTCAGCATTGGGGCCTTGTTTGTCCTTTGCATACTCAACAATGCTAAGTAAATGCACTTGCAGAACGACGAGTAGATAATCTGCATTTATCTCAAAACACACTGGCACAGAACTCTTCCACCGTCACTTCCTGTCTCTCCCACCTCCTTTACTACCCAATGAGCAAAGAATATGTAGCTCAAAGAGATAAAAGTTTAACAGTTCCATTCTAAAGACAGTCATTCCTGTTAATTGACATAAACTTACTTAAAGTGTGTTATTTTGTGAAGACTACATGTTTCAAACGTCTACTGTATAATGATAGCATTGATTAAATTGTGTGCATATAACAAAGGCTATAATCTGAAAGTATCTTCTAAATATGAATATTATAGCCAAGTACACTTCACCTTCTCACTTCCTTCTTATCATTATCAGCCCAAAGGACAATATCAGCGTTCCAAAAGTTGTTTTCAGAAGATAGTCTTACCTATGAAGTTTTCGGGCATACAAGAAAAGTATATAATATGTTTTAGTTCATCATCTCTTCTTTTGTCAAACATTAGCAACCTCTTTATCATCTAGACAACAAGATGTAAAATTAGGACTTGCTTGTTCATTGTACAGATAACCCTCAATGGGTTATGTCTCAGCAAACCCATCGTAAGTTGAAAATATCCTAAGTTGAGAGTGCATTTTTGACTTACAGTATTTTCAGTTGACTATGGGTTTATCTTGTCGTAACTGATTGTAAATCGAAGAGCATTACCAAATGCATATTGCTTTTATACCATCATAAAGTAAAAAAAATTGTTAAAAGTCAAACCAGTTTAAGTCGGGGACCATGTGTATACACTATGTGCACAGCAAAGTAAAATAAAATGCACAGAACATGCAGGTAATCTTGCCTAACTACAAACACATGGTATAGAACCCTTTATTCCTTCCTACACTTCCTTTGCCTTCCTCCTCCCTCAGTCCACAAGCACAGATCTGTACCACTCAAAGAGGAGGTCTAATAATCCCATTTCCGAAAGACAGTATTTCATTAAATTTATTAATTCCTTTTATCCAGGCATTTAGTGGTCATTTTTAGATGACCTTTACCACATATCTTCAGATGCTTTCACCGTCCGCCATAAGAATTTTTACTGAAATGAATTCTTGAAATGTTTAAAACTTTGTTACATTCTTTCTCGTTCCACAAGTAGTTATCCCTTCCCAGTTACCTTTCTTTTTTAGGTCTGTGGAGTCATGATACATCTATCCCCTTTTCCTTTGTTTTTCATGCATTTGTCAAATTTATTATTGAATACTCCTAAATTTTTTCTGCCTTTATCATTTGTTTTTTCTTTTTCATTGCTTTAGTCAGTTACCCTTGCACTACAGCAGTAGCCTCTTTATTATCTTCCTTGCCTTTAGTCTTCTTCCTTTCCATCCTGGAATATTTATTTCAGAGCTTACTGTACAAAAATACCAGATTCTATCAGAGAACATCAAAGGAATCACAGAATCTCAGTATTGCAAAGGATCTTAGCCATCTAGTGCACACACCTGTTTTTTATTTGAATCTCTTCTACATTTCTTTTTATTATTATTATTATTATTATTATTATTTTTGAGATGGAGTCTCACTCTAATGCCCAGGCTGGAGTGCAGTGGTATGATCTTGGCTCACCGCAACCTCTGCCCCCCTGGTTCAAGAGATTCTCCTGCCTCAGCCTCCCAAGTAGCTAGGATTACAGGCGTGCACCACCATGCCTAGCTAATTTTTTGTTTGTTTGATTGTTTGTTTGTTTGTTTTGAGATGGAGTCTGGCTCTGTCGCCCAGGCCGGAGTGCAGTGGCATGATCTCGGCTCACTGCAAGCTCCGCCTCCCGGGTTCACGCCATTCTCCTGCTTCAGCCTCCCTAGTAGCTGGGACTACAGGCGCCCGCCACTATGCCTGGCTAATTTTTTGTATTTTTAGTAGAGACGGGGTTTCACTGTATTAGCCAGGATGGTTTTGATCTCCTGACCTTGTGATCCGCCCGCCTTGGCCTCCCAAAGTGTTGGGATTACAGGTGTGAGCCACCGTGCCTGGCCTTTTGTATTTTTAGTAGAGACGAGGTTTCACCATGTTGCCCAGGCTGGTCTCGAACTCCTGAGGTCAGATGATCCACCCGCCTCAGCCTCCCAAAGTGTTGGGATTACAGGCATGAGCCACCGTGCCTGGCCTTTTGTATTTTTAGTAGAGATGAGGTTTCACCATGTTGCCCAGGCTGGTCTCGAACTCCTGAGGTCAGGTGATCCACCCGCCTCGGCCTCCCAAAGTGTTGGGATTACAGGCGTGAGCCACCGTGCCTAGCCTTTTGTATTTTTAGTAGAGACGAGGTTTCACCACGTTGCCCAGGCTGGTCTCGAACTCCTGACGTCAGGCGATGCACCCGCTTCGGCCTCCCAAAGTGCTGGGATTACTCATGCCTGGCCCTCTTCTGCATTTCTGCTGAGTAACTTCTGCCAGGTTCCTTAGGCTAAGCTTAAGTTCCTCCAGTGACAGGAATCTCACTCCCTCCTAAGGCTACATTCCTCTTTTGGACAACTATAGGTTTAAGTTTAGTCTTCCTTATGTTAAGGTAAGATGTATTTGCTTGTATCTTCTCCTACAAGCTCTGGTTCTTCCCCTGAAACTACACAGAACAAGCATGATACTACTTCTTTATGAACACTCTTTAGGTATGAAGAAAGCTATTGTCCAGACTTCCCTGCAGATTCCTCTTTTCTCTAAGCTAATTCTCCTAAGCTTGGTTGGTTTTTTCTAGCCAGTCTTTTTAGCCCTTTACCATCCTATTCACGTTTCTGTGAACTTTAACATTTATGTATATTAATGTTAAGCTGTGAAACCTAGAATTTAGTGGAGTAATGCAAATGTGGTCTCTGTTGTAAAATAGATCAGAACTATTTATTCTTTATTTAAAACACTAGTCCTTTAATGTAGGCCGAAATTGTGCTAACATTTTTGACATCGACATTCTATCTTAATGCTTATCTAATTTACTAATGAATGAAATTCCCAGTCATCTCTCACAAAACTGTATCTCCCCCAGCTGTACTCAAGTACAGAAAACATCTATTCTTGATAACTTTTATCTTGTTAGAATAGCTCTTTTCTCTTCTATAGCTACAACTTGTCAGTGTGTCCTTATCAGCTTATGATTTAATTGAGGCTATAGAACATATACACTTAAAAAAAATAAGCTAAGAACTCTTAGAATAAAACAACATAATGTATTGTCAGTTGTAACCATGAATGATGTTTTTCAAAGTGTGTCCTCTGGCCTACATTAGAGTTACTTAGGGCGCTTGTTAAATATTCAGTTTCACTCCAGACTTAATGAATTCAGATTTCTAGGAGTGATGTCTGGAAATCTGCATTTTAACAAGCTCCATTGGACATTGGTGCATATTAAAGGTTGACAGCTGCTACTCTAAGTACTGAAGGATTGAGCCCAAAGATATGATCAGAATTAGGTGGCATTAATAAAGGAGGTGATTTCTGGGGACAGAAGAACATGAACTGTTAGAGTAGGTAGAAATTCCAGGTGTAGTAAAGAAGAAATAAATTGTCTGCTAGGGAAGATATTTGCTAGGCTGAATTAGGGGCCCAATAGAACAGCACATAAAAGGAGTTAAAAGCTAAGGGACAGAAGGAAAAAAAACAAAGAAAGAAAAAACTATAAAATTCTGAAACCAGTAAAGATACATGCTGCCATTTGGCAGCAAGGCAGACCTGCTATAGAAGAAGCATGATCTTTGTCATCAAGAATTCATGAAATACCAGGCAACACCCTATGAGGGAATGTAAAAGGGTGGGGGTGTCAGCAAAGATTAGTTTGGAGCATTGCTACACACATCTCATCTTTAGTTCTAGGCTATCTAATGAGAAAATCTATATTAAATCTAAGTTGACTGATTTGGATATAGACCAGTCGGATGGTAGACAGCTTGCACAGCTGCTTGGTGCTCAGGAAATAGGCTGTTTTCACTAGCATAGCAAAACTCAGAGTGCTCTTGGCATTTTGAAGTTGGTGGGACAACAGCAAGTCTCTACCAGACAGAATAGTGCCACGAAAATGGATGGTCAAAGTCCTGACTGCCCAGATGGTATCAGGAGTAGTGGTCTTGGTCTTAAGTATTTCCATTTCTTAAAGATTTCATAAGTGCACAGATAAACAAGTGTAGATGACAACCTATTTTAGATGTTGATTGAGAGTCTTAAGGCCAGGCGTGGTGGCTCACACCTGTAATCCCAGCACTTTGGAGGTCGAGGAGGCTGATCACTTGAGCCCAGGAGTTTGAGACCAGCCTGGGCAACATGGTGAAACCCCATCTCTACAAAAGAATACAAAATCAGCCAGGCATGGTGGCATGCACCTGTGATCCCAGCTACTCGGGAGGCTGAGGCGGCAGGATGGCTTGAGCCTGGGAAATGGAGATTGCAGTGAGCTGAGATAGTGCCACTGCCCTCCAAAGCCTGGGCAACAGAGTGAGACCCTGTCTCAAAAAAAAAAAAGGTTTTTGAAACAAAAGGCCCTCCTATATAATGAGTCAATGAAAGTTATGCTCTTAGAGTAAATAATTATATTGTACTACTGAAATGGTAAGTCAAGTAGAACTAAGAAAATACTCATGACTCTAGTTCCAATTTACAATTTTCAACAGAACCATAAGAGAAGTTGTAATTATGGAAACTTAAATGATCAAATATTAATTTGTGTCCAGGCGCAGTGGTTCACACCTGTAATCCCAGCACTTTGGGAGGCTGAAATGGGTGGATCACCTAAGGTCAGGAGTTCAAGACTAGCCTGGCCAACATGGTGAAACCCCATCTCTACTAAAAATACAAAAATTAGCTGGGCATGGTGGCACCTGTAATCCCAGCTACTCAGGAGGCTGAGGCAGGAGAATTGCTAGAACCTGGGAGACGGAGGTTGCAGTGAGCCGAGATTGTGCCACTGCACTCCAGCCTGAGCAAGACTCTGTCTGAAAAAAATATAATAATAATAATTATGATTATATTTAAAAGATGAAATATTAATTTGTGATTATATTTTCTACAAGGGCATGCACTATTTAAAATTGAGCACTCAAATCTGGTTTGCACAACTGCACAGAGAAGCTTGCAAGACTGCCGAATATGTCCTGACTTGCTACTAGTCTTTTGATAGCCTCCTTCTTTGGCAAACATGGCTAGTCTGCATTTGTACTGGAAGCCACTTGGGATTCCTCTTTAAACATCAGTCATTGTTCAAAACCCACTTCGCACTTCTTTCTCTCTTTATAGATCATGTTGCCCCCAAAATGAACTGAACACTCTTATCTTAATGCTAATTTGACAGAGACCACTTCTAATTTATTATCATCCTGCTTACTCTTATATAAAATTAGTGTTTGCTATAGTTTTTTCTCCCTTTGAATACCTCAAAGTTGACTGACAGTTTTTCCTCAACGCAGCTTGCCTCTGATAACATCCAGAAAAAATGAAGAAAATATACTGCTTTGTAAAATAGAAGAGCTTAACAAGTACAAATTTGTCACTTTTTTCGGGTGTTTCGAAAGAGTGTAAACAGTAAACATTGCTGTTTATTTCTTGTGTTTCAGAAGTAAGGCTATGTATTTTTATCGAGCTATTTACAATTTACATATAAGATGTAAGTATTTTCATGAATCATTTTCATCAGTGGGGTGGATATACCTATCATAGTGGATACGGTCCTATTCTGACTTTTAGATCAGAAATCACTTTCAGTTATTTGTAGCACACACCTTAAAGCCTATTAAAGTTCTCCCCACCAAAATTTGTATTATTATAATCACTGGATGTCAACACCTGTGGCTCAAACAGTATCCAAATTTTGTATATTGTTGGAGGATTGCTGATTTAACTGAGAGTTGTAGCTAGAAATAAGGTGAGAAAGAATATACAGGTAATACTAATCCACCTCAAACTAAGAAGCAAAGGATGGTGGATGGGCTATGTTGATCTAGCGTTGCAAAAACACTTTTGGATGAAGTGCCCAGAAATAGCCCCAGTTCCTTTCACTAGAATCAGCTTGTCCCAGGTGAATGCCGGCAGAGCAGGGTGTGTGCTCCCCAAGAAAGGGCAGTGACCGCTTTCCAATGTCTGGCAGTTAGGGGCGATGAGAGTAGTTGCAATTGGCAAGATAAAGGGGAACTTTGGAAAATAAATATACTTATGATAGAGGAGGCAGGAGAAAAGGTCAAGGGCTGTACACATGTGGAACTGATAATCATGGTAGCTTGGCTTCTATGAATGGGTACATGTTGACCCTTAAGTGAGCTTAGAAAGCTTGAGAAATCAGTATGCGTGAACTGTTTGAGGCATAAGAAAGGCAGGATTTTAAAACTTTTTTTTTAATTTGTGCAAATTTATGGGATACATGAGAAATTTTTTACATGTATGTAATATGTAGTGATCAAGTCATGGTATTCAAGGGATCTGTCACCCCAGTACAATATATTCTTATTAAGTATAGTCATCCTACCCTGCTATCAAACATTGAATTTATTCCTCCTATCTTACTGTACGTTTGTACCTTTAGCCTACTTCTCCTTAGCCTCCCTTCATCCCCAGTCACCCTCCCCAGTCTCTGTTGTCTACTTTTCCACTCTCTACCTCCATGTGTTCAAATTTTTTACCTCCTACATATACGTGAGAACATCTGATTTTTGTATTTTTGTGTTTGGCTTATTTCATGTAAGATAATGATCTCCACTTCCATCCATGTAGCTGCAAATGACATAATTTCATTGTTTTTATGGATGAATTGTATTCCATTGTGTAGAAGCAGGCAGAATTGACTCTGATAGTAGTCTAGCTGGAAGAGAGGCTATAGCTACAAAGAATCTTGACTTACCAAAACACTAGTAACATGTCTGTGAAACTGCTGTAGTCTAACTCATTTACTACTATGTTAATTTGGAGCGTGAAGTTCATCAGTGGAATGGGTACTATAATTTGCGAAGTTCAAGTGACAATTCTGGTAGATAAAGTTTTAAGGAGCAGATGGTCACAACTGTCAGTCTCAGAAGTAATTTGGTAAGTAAAATAGTCATTTATTTGGAAGTTTTTTGGTAACCTAATTGTGATCTAATTGTCACCAGTTGGGAGTCTAATTCCATTTTCATCACTCATCTGCAGAAAGGTGAGAGAAATAAGCTATTAATTAATAGCCAATATTTACGAGCTCTTACTATCCACCATAAAGTATGCTAAGTGCTTTATGTGCATTATACTTAATTATAGTAACTCTCTGAGGTAGTTACTATTATTATTTCCAGCTAGTTAGTGGAAGAACCAGGATTTGAATCCAGGCAAACTGACTGCAGAGCCCTCACTTTTAACACTACACATAAAACTGAGTTTATTTAACAGAAAACACTGTCCTTTAACCTGAGATTGTGTCTACCTTTCAATACTAAAATGTACTTTTTATATGAAATGGTGGTGATAGACGATGTCAGGTTTGATTTTCTTTTTTTTTTTTTTTTTTAAGAAATCTTTACCTTGCAAAACTAAAACTAAAACAACCCAATGACAGCACTGCTCTCCAGTTTAAAGAAAACAAACGTTCTTTTGCTAGTTGTGAAATCTAAATTTGAGAACCACTGACTAGAAAAGTGGGACTCTTAGTAATTTTTAAAGTTCTTTAGAGATTTTTCACCTGATTTATTTTCTGATTTCAACCTCCTTGTTTTCATTAACCTTTTCCTTAAGTCCACCTCAGCCACTCATTCTTCGATTATACACAAGACTTTGTTTGCCATTACCAGCAACCACACCACTTTGGGGATCTCAGATGTAAGCATCTTGCTCTCGCGCTGCCTCCCATTTTTCCTTGCTTACTCCTAGCATTTCTCCTGTTACCAACTCCAGCAACTTGGACCCCACTGGAACCTCCAGTATAATTTATTCTATCAGTTCCCAATCTTTTTGTTCTCTCTCTCCTCTTTCCCCAGCTTAACCTCCATGGTCTATCACATATATCCTCTTTGTATACACCCTTAGCAGCCTTGCTCCTCATCTTCTGTTGTCAAATCCACAAGTGTTTCTCAGCTACCTGCCTACTCTGTGCCAGTATTCTCGCTGTTAAGCATGGCTTAAGAAAAACACAAAACCACAGTGTCTGATCTCACTTTAAATTTATGAACCAAATCTCAAGTGAGCCCTCAGTATTTCTTGGAACAGATATTCCTAGTATTCCTTCTGTATTTCCCTAGTCCAATCCATTTATTCTCCTATTCTCTGAGATGACTAGTTCTTCTTCTCTATTTGGCTCAACCCCCAAGCACCACCTCTTCCATCTTTACCAGCAGCTGATGACCTGGAATCTTTACTTCACGGAGGAAATAGAGGCAAACAGAAGAGAACTTCTTCATCTTCTTCATCTTCCCACCACAAGATGTATGATTGGTTGAATGAGAGAAAGACTGTGATGTCCTAGAACTTCAGTTGCTCCTATATCCAATGTAATTAGCAACTTAAATTCCAAAACCATATATAAAAATCGATTTTTGGCCATTTGAGATTATACTCTTTACTACCACTTTCCTTTCTCTTATTATAACCAAGAGTTGTTACTATGTTTGTGCCTCATCCAAATAAAAAGTAGGTATTTTTTAGAAAATGATTAACGGGAGCAATTAGTAAAACAAGCAGTAAAATACCCGGATACAGGAAATTGAGCCAGGCTTGCTGGTATGTGCTTGTCCCAGCTACTCGGGAGGCTGAGTTGGAAGGATCGCTTGAGCCCAGGAGTTCCAGGTTATAGTGAGCTGTGTCACACCACTGAACTCTGGCCTGAGTGACAGAGTGAAACCCTGTCTCTAAAAAAGTACTTGACATAGGATATTGAGAGAAGAAATGCTTTGGAACTATGTTTGATTATACCCTTAGCCCACCTTAGTTCTTACTTAAGTAAGTTATAGATGAAGGAGAAAAGATGGGAATCACTTTGAAGATTAAGGCCTCAAACTTTGTGGAAAATGGAGGAAAAAATGTTGAAAACAGTCATGTGATAGTTTTTACCTTACACTTTTGATGGGAAAATTAGATAATAGAATTGAGCTATACGTATGTTGACTGCACATTACATTAATTTAATCCTGTTATTTACCTCATATTGCTAACCTTTAAAATTAAGATTTGAAAAAAAAGAGATGGGTAAAACCAAAAAGGTCAAAATTTGTATGCCAGCTTAGATGAAATTTGTATTTATAGAACTGAATAAGAATCTACACCTTACCTAATACTGTGAATTGCTTATGTAAATACAACAAAGGATGGTCCCTCGATGACCTGAATCTCATATGCTGAGTTCACTTAGTAACAGCGTCCGTCTGCTCAGACACATTTTCCCAACTCCCCATGTGCTTTCCAAACCTTTACCATGTTTCCCAGTATCCTCTCTTCATCCCTCATTTTGTTGATGACCTAGTTCCTGCTTCACATAGTCAACAGAACCCAACAGGAATAACCTCAGCTTTCTTCCTCCTTGTCCCTTTATTTAACTGGTCTCAGAAGGAGAGGTGTCTTTACAAGCTCTCCCTCTCCATTCCTCCTCTGTTGCCAAAGTTCCTGAAAGTGTGGTCTCCATATCTGCTTATGCTACTTAGTTTTCTTCTAAGTGAAAGGTAGGGACTCAACCCCAAATGCTCTGACCCTGTTCGAAGACCCTGTGGCCTAGAGCGGCATGTATTTCCTGATTTCTAAACCTAGTGCCCTTTTTCCAGGCCTCATCCTCTATCACTGCAGCATTTATCTCTGTTGTCACATTCTTCTGCTTAAAACTTTTCACAGCTTTTCACGTACCCAGGGCAGGCATTCAAAAATATTGAAGCAGTAGTTTTGATGTCTTTTCTGAGCTTTCACCAGTATTTTTAATAGGCACTACTGCCTAAATGTCAAATGCCTTATAGCCAAAAACAAGTAATGATTTCCTGTAATCTCCAAACTGATTCCTCTTCCTCTTGCTATGTCTTGGTATCCCTGAGGTTACCATCATTTTATCCATGTACCCATGCTAGATGCCTCAAGGTCATCCTTGACTCCTCTTCCTTCTCTGGTTTCCATTTGGTTTCTAAGCTTTGATGAGTATCTCCCGCATCTTCTTTTCTTTTTCTACTATTTCCTATGACTCTTGCCTCTTTCTGTTTATTGTCTTTTGTCTGGATTATTTCAGTAATATGTTCAGGAGTTTCTAATTTGGATTCCATGGATGGACCTCAAAGGATTAAAGAACTCTCTCAAATTTGTATGCAAATTTTTTGTGCATGTGCATTTTCCTGGGGAGGTCCATTAGACTGTTCTGTGGGAAAGAGAGGAATAGAATGAGAGACAATGACAATTTAAATCAGGTCCACTGATTTCTCGTTCTATACCTGGCCTTTGTTATTTAGGTCACTAACCTAAGGCACTTATCTCTGAGGAGTGAGGTGGCATGTAAGATATTAAGAATAAAACAGCAGCATTAGTCAGTCCAGCTGGGCAGTCAGTCCAGCAGCCAGAGATCAGAGGCTCCTCAATATCAGATCCAGGCTTTAATATCCTAGAGAAGCTCAGGAGAAAGCTGGGGCATCAGCAGGAGCAGAGGGTGTCCTCCCGAGGCCCCTGGACCCATTTGTTCCTGTGCTTCCAAAGGACTTAGAGGGATATGAAAACTTAACTGGCAAGAATCCAGAGTGAGTTGGTATCCCCAGAAAAAGGTTCAGAACATTCCCCCAGCTAGCCTCCCCTCCTTTGCCTGTTTGGTCTCTCGTTCTTTCTCCACTCTGCCAACACAGTTAGCTTTTAAATACATATCTCCTGGTGTGCCTTCCGTGATTGTCACTTACACCTAAGGGTGATTAGACTAATCACCCAAAAATGTGGGGTTTTAATCACCTATGAAACAAGTTAAAAAATCATGGTCATGGTTTCAAGGCCTGCCAGTTAGGAGCCTGCCAGCCTCGTCGCCAGGCACTGCCCTCTCCTCACTTCCAGGGCTCTGGCTACAGCAGGTTACTACTGGCTGTTTCGAGAGAACAGTGTCTGTGTCCATATCCCTATGCCTTTGATCATGCTAGTCTCTCTCTTTGGGGTGGCATTTCCTCTCCATTGCCTGTGAACCTCCTACTCATTCTTCCAGGCCCACAATGGATGTTAGCTCTTCACCTGAGTCCATTCTTAATTTTCTGCCATCACTCTGGCAGAATCAGTATCTCTTGGCTAGAGTCCAAAAACATTTCATACATATCTCTGATAATGTCATATTATATTGTAGATAGCCTATTTTTATTTCTGTCTTTCCTACTAAGCCAGAAATGCCCTACAGCTAGGGACTGTCTTTTTCATGTTTGTATCCCTAACAGCTACCTTTGCATCTAGTCTAAACATGAGCTTAGTACACTTTTGTTGAATGGAATTAGTTATAAAGAGTTTTTATGACTCATTTAAAATTAGAGACCAATGCTTACTTAATAAGTCAGAATAGGCTGTAATAATAATAGTAATAATAAAGTCCCATTTCCACTGCTTATTCAAGTAACAGCTTCCTTTGTGGAAGTACATTTTGAAAGACTTCACATGTCAGTGTATATTTTTGATGTGCTCATTTGAGATCCTAAAAGAATTATAGTTCTAAAGCAGACTAGAGCTTCTATTACATTCCTGTTGAAGTTATATTAAATATATTCTATCGTTTCACATATCTGTATTATATATAATAAGTTGCATGGGTAAACATTTTATCTCTTTTAAACTTCATGGTAATAATTTGTGAATTGTTTATTTTATAATATCTGAGTAAATTTAGTTCAAAACACATTAATTTGAGCATTTTCTGTGTACAGAAGCATAGTTGCAAAGTTAAGATTCTTGTGTTTATGTTGTTTTGTTAAATTCGGAAAGTCTCAGTCATTGCAAATGTATTTTTTTTTTAAGTATTTAAATTAGCTCAGCTATGAGAATAAGCACAGTCCATAAATTAAGAGCTTCAAATAATTTTTTAAAATCCTTCATATTCTTTGAGTTTTGTAGGAAAAGAATCAACAGTTTACTTATTCAGCCTTTCCTGAAGTCCATAGTAGGTGCTGGGCATTATGCTGGGTGAATGAGATAGTACTTGCATTTGAATAGTTTACAGTCTTATAGCGAAGAAGCCATGTAAACAGAGAATTGCAATATAAACCTTGGAGGAGAGGAAGGAAGACTACTTTGAGAACCGAGATTAGGTTGAGAATGGATGAGTCTGCTGATCAATTTATAGATAAAGAAGCAGAGAGGTGAAGTCTTTTTTTTTTTTTTTTTTGATATGTGAAATAGGAACCTAGGTTATCTCTAAGAATTCATAGCAGGGGGTAGCTCTTGAGAAGAACAGTGAAGATCTGGATAATTAATAAGGAGAATTAGACATGAGCTAACAAAGACAAGTAAAGAGTGGCATGAGAAAGCAGTGAGCATAGAACTGAAACTGGATAGCATGAAATTCTGGAGGTATCAGTCAGTAGCACAGTGGTATAATTTTCTCCAGCTGTGCTATGGAGAAATTATACACATTGTGGCCAATGTGTAGTGAATAAAGCCATATTGTATTCAGGGACTATGGGGTGGTTATAACAGAAATTTACAAAGAATAAATAGTTAAAAGTCCTTCAAAGAAAGCATGGCTTACTAGGGAAGGCAGTATGGTTAAGAGGAAGTTGATAAACTTGGAGAAAATGTAGAAGTCAAGAAGTTGGAGATCAGAAGGGCTGGTGCTTTGTAGGAACTCAGAAAATCTTCATTTTCTTCTTTCTGGATGTCCTCTCCCTATGAATGTTTCACCACCACCACCTGCCTCAGCTACAGTTTATACATATGAATAGTTTCAAATCATGATGGTAACAGTTGGCTCAGAGGGCAAGATTAGGAGCCAGACTTCAACGTGCTGCTAATCCAGCGTGTCCCTGTAACTTAGATGCTGGTAGTGCTTGGTGGTATTGGCCTCTAGGAGAAGCTCAAGGCTTCTCCTGTTATCTCCCTACCACTCATACTTGGAGGGTGAGTCAAAGGCCAAAAAGCATTTTATTGGGCAGTGGTTCTTAGGGAAGGGATTTACTCTGTGATGCAGAGGGTTAAGACTGTAAGCCATCAAGTGTTTCCCCTCCCTCTCCATGTTCAACCAAAGGCACAGTTCTTATTACTTTCAAGGATTTAAAAAGGAGTCTTTTCTCAGCATAAAGGAGGAAGTGAAGACCAATTTTGACAGCCCAAAGGGTCTTCCTCCTCAGAATCTAAAATTTCTAATAGAGTTGTTTGCATCTTGTGATTTTACTTGAGTCATCAAATGTATTGTACTTTTTTTCTTAAAGATATACTTTTTAATGCTTTCATTTCAGATAAGGACAAACCATTTTCCATGGCGACACACTATTTATATTGCATTTTCAGAAATTTCCCTTTTTACCCATACTTAGGAGTGTGACACTGAAACCTGATAATCTATTATTTCACAGAGTGCTTTTTTGGGTGTAATATAAAGATATTATATAATTTTAATAACCTTTGAGGTACAAGTGGTTTTTGGTTACATGGATGAATTATATAGTAGTGAAGTCTGAGATTTTAGTGCAGGACCCATTGTCCAAGTAGTGTAAACTGTACCCAATATTAGTTTTTTATTCCTCACTCCCCTCTCACTTTCCCCACTTCTTAATTTTCTGCCATCACAATGTGTTGCCCAGGCTGGTTTCATGCCCTCACTTTCCCCACTTCTGAGTTTCCAAAGTCTATTACTCTGTACACCTTTGTGTACCCATAACTTACCTCCCTCTTGTAAGTGAAAACATATGGTATTTGATTTTCCATTCTTGAGTTACTTCACTTAGAAAAATGGCCTCCAGCTCCATCCATGTTGTAGCAAAAGATGTGACTTCGTTCTTTGTTATGGCTGAATAGTATTCCATGGGGTGTGTGTGTGTGTGTGTGTGTGTGTGTGTGTATACACATATATGATATATAATAATTATATATAATTTATCGTTATATGTAAAACAAAGCAAATTTTTTATTTTTATAGAGACAGGGTCACAAAGTATTGCCCAGGCTGGTTTCATGCTCCTGGGCTCAAGTGAGCCACCACACCCAGCCAAAAATAAGTAATATTTCCCAGTTAGACATTTTCAGAGTAAAAAGTATTTGTTCAAAATCATAGCATGAATGGACTCTTCCAGAGACCTTTAACTGGCAGCATTTCCCCCTCAAACTTTAGTACAGTTATAGGAATTGTTTCTGGATTTTTGGCTGTATATTCTTGTTCATGGCTCATGGACATTAACATATGTGAATGGCATCACTGTGTTTTTCCTAAAGTGCATACGAAGAAGAAAGAACACTTTCCTTTAGAGTCTTACTTAGATTCTAGTTAGCTGATATAAGACTGTTTTCTTTTCCTTTTCAGGTTGTAAACATGTTAAAGGCATCCTGTTATATGGACCCCCAGGTTGTGGTAAGACTCTCTTGGCTCGACAGATTGGCAAGATGTTGAATGCAAGAGAGCCCAAAGTGGTCAATGGGCCAGAAATCCTTAACAAATATGTGGGAGAATCAGAGGCTAACATTCGCAAACTTTTTGCTGATGCTGAAGAGGAGCAAAGGAGGGTAATGTGAACATAAGTGTGATTTAGTAAAAGTTTATCACTCGCTATACGATGAATGAGACCCAGAGTTATGGAGACAAACTTGTTGCTTTGATTTATATTTTGAAGCAACTTACAGGTAAATTTACCTAGTACCTAGGTTATATATGGCACTGCACCAGGGACTGTGGAAGATTTACGTGATGAGCAGATGTTGTTGCCCACATATTCCTATAAACAAAGGTAGGTGATTGTGTAAGCCAGAGGTTTTGCAAAAATAGGTCATGAATATATTTTCAGGTGACACTTTTATTCCATATTGCTTCCAGAGACTTGTGCTCATTTATCCTTTGGAAGAAAAGGGGAAATTAAATCCATAAATAGACTTATGAAATCGTATTATGTAAGGTTCATATGCAAAAAGCTATCTTACTTAACACTGAGTCTTGCTCAGTTATAGAGTGACAGGATTGAGTTGTCAGAGCTCAAAGGAAAGCTTGATTTGCGTCTCAGAAATGAAATTATTTAAAAATCAAGCTAGAATTTACTAATTCTGATAGTTTTACATGTCAACTTGACTAGGACATAAAGTGCCTAAATATTTGGTAAAACATTTCGGTTGTGTCTGTGAGGATGTTTCTGGATGAAATTAGCGTTTGAGTTGATAGACTGAATAAAGCAGATTGCCCTCCCTAATGTGGGCAGGCCCCATTCAATCAGTTTAAGGCCTGAACAGAACAAAAAGGCTTACTTTCCTGCAAGTAAGAGGGAATTTCGACTTGCCTGGTTGCCCTGAGTTGGGACATTGGTTTGGATGCACACCGAAACATCAGCTCTTCCTGGCTTGGAGGCCTTTGGGCTGGAACTAAATAATGCGTATTAGCTCTCCTGGGTCACCAGGTTGCTGACAGCAGATCTTGGGACTTGTCAGCCTCTGAAATTGTAGATTTATCCCAAGGAATTGGCTAAAACGATTATGGAGGCTGACATATATATGTGGGTGTATATGCATACATACATATTCATAGAGATTTATCATAAGGAAAACACACACACACACACACACACACACGAACATTCTATTGGTTCTGTTTGTCTGTTCTGATTAATTATCCTAATACTAACATATTTTTTTCATTGACAGTTTAAGAACAATGCCATGAGATTTCTGGTTCTAGCAATACAGTAGACTAGGTAACCAGAAAACCTTCCTTCTATAAACACCTTCAAATGCTAGGTATACACTGTACCCCTTAAATATGCACAGTTATGTGCCAATTAAACACAAAATAAAACTTTTAAAAGTTCTGGGTAAAACATAACTGAAATCATTTTAAATGCATAATTGAGCTCTTCAGAAAGAAAACTGGATCTCCAGGAAATTAGAGTCGTAAGATACGGGCTGCAGCTTTTGGTTTCATAATATATGGGTTTGGGTTTTAGTACCCACTAGGGAACAGAACATGAGTCCTTGAATCCATTTACAGTGTGGACTAGGAACTGGTACCTTCAAAGGGGTTGTGTCTATGAAAAGAGTGGACTAGAAAATATCTGCTGCCACCACAGGGAAATTAACAAAAAATATTTAACTGCCTGGGTTCTGGAATGGAAGCTGGGAAATCTCCTATGGGAATTCTTCTTCTTTTTTTTTTTTTTTTGAGATGGAGTTTTGCTCTTGTTGCCCAGGCTGGAGTGCAATGGCGTGATCTCGGCTCACCACAACCTCCGCCTCCCAGGTTCAAGCAATTCTCCTGCCTCAGCCTCCCCAGTAGCTGGGATTACAGGCATGCACCACCACGCCCAGCTAATTTTGTATTTTTACTAGAGATGGAGTTTCTCCATGTTGGTCAGGCTGGTCTCGAGCTCCCAACCTCAGGTGATCTGCCCGCCTTGGCCTCCCAAAGTGCTGAGATTATAGGCGTGACCCACCATGCCCGGCCTCCCATGGGAATTGTAAACCATGGATCCTTGTTCATGCTGGTTTAGAATTTGAATGAATGTATGCTACCTATGTGGCTTGAAACCCGAAGCTGAGAAATTAGTTAAAAAAATTATTCAGGTGCAGTGGCTCATGCCTGTAGTCTCAGCTACTTGGAAGGCTGAGATGGAAGGGTCACTAGAACCCAGGAGTTCTAGGCTGCAGTGAGCTCTCATTGTGCCATTGCACTCCAACCTGGGTGACAGTGCAAGACCCTATGTTAAGGAAGAAAAAAATTAGTCCTGGGCTAGTGATAGCATAAGTTGTCAGATATAAGCAAACCCCAGGGGGTGCTCCAACAACCTAGGCTGAAAGGAATAGAAAAAGTAGTCATGAAAATTTAAAACTCAGCAACCAAGTTTAAGATAAGACAACAAATTTCAGCTGAAGAGAGAAGTGGTAAACAGAAGAATAAACCTAAAGAAATCACCCAGAATGTAGCACAGAGAGATAAAGGGATGGAGAAGATGAAAGTTGAGATGAGAGAGTTAAAACAAGAAGTCCAGATAGAATAGTGTAGAGGCATTATTCAAAAAGAGAATGACTAAGAATATTCTAGAATTAATAAAGACATAAGTACTCAGATTCAGGTAGCACCATGAGCCTATATGGGATAAATGAAAATTAACTTATTTCTAGACTTGTTATAGGAGAATGCCAAAGAAAAAAAATCTTAGTAACAAAAGAAAGACATGGAGATGACTTACAAAGGGGTATCCATTATGTTGATAGCAAACTTTTCCATGACAGAAAGAGAGAACAAAAAACAGTAGAATAATATCTTCAGAGAGCTAAGTGAAAATAACTGTCAACTTAAAAGTTAATACCCAGCTTAATTCTCATTCAGGAATGAGGGTGAAATAAAGACTTTTTTTCTTCAGGCAAAGGATAATAGAATTAACTAGTTGCAGAAGCTTGTTGGAAGATTATGAAGCAAGATGTACTGAGACTGAAGGAAGTTGAACCCAGAAGGAAACAGTAGAGCCAAGAAACAATGATGAGCAATGAAATTGGTGAAAATATAGATAAAGTCTGGGAGTTCTACTTCTAGTAGTGGCAAATTAGGTCATTTGAGTCATGTGTTCCACTGAAGACTACCAGAAAAGCTCAACACAATATTTAAACATGTTTTGCTTGAAGGTATCAAAGAAGAAAAATGGAGGCCTAGAACAAAGGTCCTCCTGGTATACTGGGTCACTGTTCCTCTCGAGATATTAGCCAGTTCTGCAGGAAGCTGCTAAAACCTAAGCAGCCCTTTTGACAGGCTAGTGGGAGTAATGGGGGCAGAGATTAGTGCCCATGGCCCCTAAGGAGGGGACACCTGATGAACATAACTCATTTTGAGTCAAGACCCTGAAGGGCTACACCATAGGAGCAAGGGTTAACCAGGAGTAGACATACTCTCACTGAGGCTGCAGATCAGCTTTGAATCATGTCAGTCCCTAAAATTAGATTGAGGGTTCCTAAATTGCTAGTGCCCCTAGGCATCTGGCAGAATTGTAAATCCTTCCTGGAAGAAAGTGGTATCATGTAAGGTCACAAATTGTTTCTAGTTTGCAAATGCAATGTCTGGCTTATAATCAAAAGCAACTGGAAACAGATACACAAACAACATCAAGAAAAAGAAAAGATGGTTCAAACAGCCTCTAGATATTGGAATTCTCAGATACAGACTTTTGAAATAATTATACTTACCACATTCAAGGGGATAAAAGACAAGACAGATTTTTGGCAGAGAACTGGAAACTAAAAATAAACAAATATAAATTCTAGAACTGAGAAAATCAGTAAGTCAAATTAACTCAAGTGAATGAGTTTAAATAGCAGGTTAGACACATCTGAAGAGAGAATTAGTGTACTGAAAGATATAAGATGAAAATAACCAGAGACAAAGAATGAAAGGAATTAAGAGAGAGTAAGAGAGAGAGAGAGAGAGAGAGAATACCGTTTAAAGGTCTGGTGCGTGTATTTAAAGTTCCAGAAAGGCAAGAGAAAGAGGATGAATCAAAATCAGGATTTGAAGAGAAAATGGTTTAGAACTTTCTAAAACTGATGGAAAACATTAGTCCATAAATTGCAGAAATGATATGAACCCTGAGCAGGAGAAATACCAAAGAACTCTACATATATAGGCATTATTGTTAAATTGCTGAAAACCAAAAATGAGAAAAATCTTAAAAGGAGCTAGAGAGCAAAGGAAAATTACCTTCAAATAAGCAACAACTAGCTAGTAGCTGTCTTCTCAATAGAAATGATGGAAACAAAAAGTCAATCAAAGGCCATTTTTAAAGAGCTGAAAGAAAATAACTGTCAACTTAGAATTTTATATCCAGTAAATGGATGAATGATCATAGAAATATATAATGGAATACAAGGCAGTAATGAAAATAAATAGCCTACAGCTATATACAGTTGTGAATCTCACAAATAAATTATTGAGCAAAAGAAACCAGATTTCAAAAAACACATACTGTGTGATTCCATTTATAGAGAGCTTACCTAAAGTATAGTGTTTAACAACACATGCTTGGGTGGTAAAACTATAAAGGAAAATGAATTATTACCATAAAAATCAGATTGTGGTTACCCATGGGGAAAGGTCAGGGAGGAGTGCTTGGGAGGGGTTGTGAGGAGGTGCTCCCAGGATGCTAGCAGTATTCTGTTTCTTATGATTACGTAGGCGTTCATTTTGTGACAGTTCATTGAGGCATATATTCACATTTTGTAACTTTTCTCTATGTGTGATGTATTTTGCAATTAAAAGTTTTAAAAATAAATTTTAATAGCATTCACTGAGAAAAACAATAATGATATGAATATTTTTAAAGGATAGAACTAAAATATGGAAAAAAACGTTTGGGAAGTAGATTAAATTCATGTAAGCTCCTTATATTATTGGGGAAGATGGTAGGGAGTTTGAGACCAGCCTGGTCAACATGGTGTAACCCCATCTCTACTAAAAAAATACAAAAATTAGTTGGGCTTGGTGGCGCACAGCTGTAATCCCAGCTACTCAGGAGGCTGAGGCAGGAGAATTGCTTGAACCCGGGAGGCGGAGATTGCAGTGAGCCAAGATCGTGCCACTGGATTCCAGCCTGGGTAACAAAAGTGAAACTCCATGTCAAAAAAAAAAAAAAAGAAGCTAATAATGTTAGTTAACATTAAGTCAAATGTGCATGTGAAAGTTGTACATTGTGCCCAAACTTTTCCAAAGCATAGGGAGGAGCTGGGAAAGAAACAGTGGAAATTCAAATACTTTAGAAGGCAAGAAAGAAATAACAAGACTCAAAGACAATGTGATGATAATAAAAAGGTAATTTTAAAAACAATTTCATTTATAGCAGAAATCAGAATGTAAAGTGCCTAGGATTCGATCTAGCAGGAAATGTGCAAGACCTTTAAGGAGAAAATTCTAAACATTTTTGAAAATCTTTTTTTAAGCAGCTAATAAATGGTAAGATATAACATGTTCATGTATGGGAGAACTGACAATGTCATAAAAATGAGTTCTGCCCATCTTGGTCTGTAAGTTGAGTGTATTTCCAGTGAAGCCTAATAGGAATTTTTTAACATTTGACAACTTGATTCTAATTTTTTTTGAGGCTTGAAGAGTTATGAGAATTTTGAAGAATAATGAAGATTTACTTTTATCACATATCAAGACTTACTAGAAAGCAATAGTAATTGAAACAATGTTATATATTCATGCAAAAACAGACCAAGGAAACAATAGAACACAGGAAGGAAGAGCCTGCTCTATGACAAGTGATGATACAGATCAGAGGGGAGTAATAGGCTGGCTGTGCCTTAAACGGAGCTGAGATAATTGACTACCTATTTGGAAAAAGATAAAATGCAATTCCTACCTCACAGCATACAAAATTGCAAGTGGATTTACAAAAAAACAAAAACATAAAAGCCTACTAAAATTTATAGGAGGAAAACTTATTTAGAAGAAAAATAGGCAAAAATGTTTTAAGATTTGAGGCTAGGGAAGAATTGATACAGAAAGTAAATCCATTGGAAGTGTTAATTTGGCTACATTAATATAAAGAAAATTCTGTATGACAAATTACACTGAATACAAATGTCTCAAACTGGGAGAAGATATTTGCAGTGTATATAATCTACAAAGAATTGGCATCCTCTATAATAAATTCTCTATAAAAAGTCTTGTATAATAAGAAAAATATAAATACCACAATTTAAAAAAACTGTCGAAGGATTTAACACGTAGTTCTCAGAGAAAGAACACAATTGAAGAAAAGCAAATGAAAAGATATTCAGGAAAATGTATAATAAAAGAGGGATTATTTCTTAAACAACCTGGCAAAATTTACAACAGCTGGTAAAACCAAGAGTTTGTGGGGTTATGGAGAAACAAGGTCTCATATACATTGCTAGTTGGAGTATAAACTAGAAGAATATACCAAGTGGGTAGTATCTTGCAAATAAATTTGACATCTTACAAAAATGAAAATGCACAAACCCCATGAGTTCTACTTCAAGACCACTACCTATGATAAACAACATGACATGTACCAGGATGTTGATTGTCATGCTATTTGTAATAGAGGGAAAAGAAACATCATTACTCTTCCTTAGTAGGAAATGGAATAGCATACAGATATTAAAATGAATATGCTGAGCACAGTGGCCCACGCCTGTAATCCCAGCACTTCAGGATGCCAAGGCAGAGGATCATTTGAGCCCAGGAGTTGAAGACCATCATGGGCAACATAGTGAGACCCCACCTCTACAAAAATTAAAAATTAGCCAGGCATGGTGGCACATTCCTGTGGTCCCAGCCACTTAGGAGGCTGAGGTGGGATGGTCACTTGTGCCGGGGAGGTCAAGGCTGCAGTGAGCTGTGATAGTGCCACTGCACTCCCGCTTGGGCAACAGAATGAGACCCTGTCTCAAAAAAATAAAATGAATAATAGATTTACATAGATCGACATGAATAACACTCAGAAATATAACATCTCGTCTTCAAAAAAAAAACCTAGTAAGCTGTACTGAATTAATCTATCCTACCATTTAAAATTTTTGTTGAGGGTAAAATAATATTAAATATTCCCTTTATAGCAATCCTCTTAGTGCTTTAAGTCTGCTTGTTGGGTCCTTAATTGTTTCAATTTTATACAAGGTCGTTTCCTTTCCTGCTTTCCAGCATTTCATTAAGTTCTTGTTCAGGTCTCCAGCTAGATCAGTCTCATTGGTTCTAGCAGGTGTGGGTCTTGGTGGGTTGGTGCAAGTCCATTCACTATTTCAACTCTTCAGAAAGTCCCGGAACCAGTCAGTTTTGCAGTTCATTCCTAATACTAAGATTGTTTCTGCTTCACTTATCTTTTTAACTTACCTCAGTGTACCAAGAAAAACAGTCATCACCATATACTATCTAGGTTGAATAAACTCCGCTTAAAAATTATTTTAGATTATTTTCCAAATAATTTACAAAATACAAGAATAAAGAGATAAAAAACTATTAAAAATTAAATAAGAACTTAAATATATAAATAAAATTTTTATGCCATGTTTCCCTGGTCTTGAGGTGTTTTGGATTTTGGTTTTTGGAATATTTGCATATACATTAAGATATCTTGGCGTTGGGACTCTGGTCTAAACATGAAATCCATTTATGTTTTGTATATACCTTGTACACACAGCCTGAAGGTAATTCTGTACAATATTTTAAATAATTTTGTTACTGAAACAAAGTCTGTGTACATTGAACCATCAGAAAGCTAAGGCATCACTATCTCAGCCACTAGATGTGGATGGTCTGTGGTTGGTTGGCATCACCATTGTTTCTGAGTGTAAATTTATATGCCTGATAAATAATCGTTTTCATACATGTATTGAGACACAAGTACTTAACAGTAAAAAATATGACACACCATTAATACAGTGAAAAAATAGTGAGTTTAGGGTAACTAAGCAGCACAATGGCATCACCAGAATACCTGGATAAGCTGTTAAACAACAGCAACACCAAACAGCAACAGTTTCAGTCACCACCTACGATGTTGTGGGGGGCTTTTGTTTTGGTTTGGTTTTTTGAGATGGGGTCTCACTCCATCGCCTAGGCTGGCATGCAGTGGCACCATCATGGCTCACCGCAGCCTCAAACTCCTGGGCTCAAGCCGTCCTCCTACCTCAGCCTCCCGAGTAGCTGGGACTACAGGTGTGCACCACCATACCTGGCTAATTTTAAAAATCTTTTTGTAGAGACAAGGTCTCCCTAGGTTGCCCAGGCTGGTCTCAAACTCCTGGGCTCAAGCGATCCTCCTGCCTGAGCCTCCCAAAGTGCTGAAATGACAGGTGTGAGCTACCATGCCCAGCTGATGTTGTGTTTTGATTAAAAGATTATCATACAGTAACCCCCTGTGTGTGGTGCACCTTTCAGATTTTGGAACATTTTGGATTTTGAATTTTTGGATTAGGGATACTCAACCTGTATACCCCAAATGGGCAGGAGCCTCTGAATGCAGTAACTGTTCATCAGCTGTCCTGCATGAACTTACAAATACTGATTCTAAGTTTCAAATACATCTTTGTTGGCTTCTAAATTATTATTACTTCTGGTTCTTCTTGCACTTACAGCATCAAAACATAATGCTTTAAGAATTTTTTTGAGATCTTTGGCTCCTAATTTTGTTGAAGAGAGGATGACCATTATATGTTCCACAGTTGCAAAACATTTTTATTTTTAGATTTGTAGATACCTTTCAGAATGATCAATTCTGTTTTTTATGGTCAATCCAATTTTTTAATGTCTACTTCATCTATTTCTTCTGGCTATCTCTCTGTAATACCTGCCTTCAGCATCTGTCTACTTTTAAACTATATCAAGAAAATTTGGTGCACAAATGAAATAAAAGATGAAAGAATACTGTCATGTGTCCTTTTAGCAAAATGGGATGGCCTCATTTCTTGTCACAAGATATTCCACAAAGAAGACTTTCTATTGAATAAGTAACTGAATGAAAATGCTTTGTCCTTAGATTAAAAGTATATTATTCACTCATTGATTCTTGAGTTTGAGAAAATGTATGTAGGGCATCATCATCTGAAGACACATAGACTGAGATTTTACTTATAATCATCAATTTCAGCATCTTTATTAGAGTCCTAAGTGCTCCTATCTTATTCTTTGTGTTCAACTTCTGACTCATCTAATAATTCTAAAACAGTTTCCTCAGATTTTCTTCGTCATTCTGGCTAGAGAACTTACAAATGTTAATGCTTAATCGTATTCAATAAAATGTAGAATGAGGTCACAAAAGATGTTAGCTCCAGACTTCTTTTATGCCTTCTTGAAAGATAACACATATCTTGCACAACACAGTAAGAAAACTGAAGAGTGATGTCATAGTGATACTTGTTTCACTGTTTCTAAGTAATTTAGTCATTTTTTATTATACTTTAAGTTCTGGGATACATGTGCAGAACTTGCAGGTTTGTTACATAGGTATACACATGCCATGGTGACTGGCTGCACCCATCAACCCGTCATCTACATTAGGTATTTCTCCTAATGCTATCCCTCCCCTAGCCCCCCCACCCACTGACAGGCCCCAGTGTATGATGTTCCCCTCCCTGTGACCATGTGTTCTCATTGTTCATTTCCCACTTATGAGTGAGAACATGTGGTGTTTGGTTTTCTGGTCCTGTGTTGGTTTGCTGAGAATGATGGTTTCCAGCTTCATCCATGTCCCTGCCAAGGACATGAACTCATCTGTTTTTATGGCTGCATGGTATTCCATGTGCCACGTTTTCTTTATCTAGTCTATCGTTGATGGGCATTTGGGTTGGTTCCAAGTCTTTGCTATTGTGAACAGTGCCTCAATAAACATGTGTGCATGTGTCTTTATAGTCGAATGATTGTAATGGGATTGCTGGGTCAAATGGTATTTCTGGTTCTGGATCCTTCAGGAATCACCACACTGTTGAAACAGCATGGTACTGTTACCAAAACAGATACATAGACCAAAGGAACAGAACAGAGGCCTCAGAAATAATGCCACACATCTACAACCATCTGATCTTTGACAAACCTGACAAAAACAAGCAATGGGGAAAGGATTCCCTATTTAATAAATGGTGTTGGGAAAACTGGCTAGCCATATGCAGAAAATTATACAAAAATTAACTCAAGATGGTTTAAAGATTTAAATGTAAGACCTAAAACCGTAAAAATCCTAAAAAAAACCGTAGGCAATACCTTTCAGGACATAGGCATGGGCAAAGACTTCATTCTTCTATTTTCTTATTTTAATCCTTTTTAAGCATAGTTGAGAATAATTGATGAGTAGTGATGTAATTTCTAGTGTGATGAAATAGCATAATGTGTCTTAGATTCATAAAAAGATCTAGTAGATCCAAATGGCAATTGTAAGATAGAATTTTATTCTATTTTTTTAAATATTGGGTTTTTTGTTTTGTTTGTTTGCTCTTTGGAAAAAGGAAAAAAGTCATGAGATATCAATTTTTATAAATAGTACTACTTAAAACAGAAACTCAGAAACTGAGATTGGGTCTAACGGACCCTAATGAGATACTGAGGATTAAACACTAGGCAGAAGTGAGTTAAAATGCCATATGGAGAAGCATTTTATAACATCTCAGTTGTGATAGTTAACCACATGGCTACATAGGTAACTTTGGTGCTGTTTTTAAAGTTGCAAGCAATTTAAATATTAAACTACTGATGATAAAATTGAGTTAGCAAAGAATTTCCAGTTCGATATTAATTATAGCCAGCCTTTTCAGTTATACCTTTCTCACATCCAGAAATGGCTTGATGTACTCAGCTAATGACCTCATGCAGGATATATATGTGTGTTACATAATAAAGAAAAACATCACTTCTGTAATTTTGGACAGTCCACACTGACGGAGATGAACACTTGCATATAGGTCAAACTAGTTAAATATAGAACAGCCGCTTTTGAAAGCTGTTGCCAGGGCTCAACAGCGTCAGCTCTGTTTCTATGGAGAAAGACTTTGCAGATGTTAAAAACAGAGCTAGAAGCCAATGAATGGAAGAGGATTGTGCTGTGGAAATTTAATTTTTTTGATAAAGGGTTTATTGATGAATCAGCTATATTAGTCTGTGAACGTTAATCTTGACATCTTCTTTACCCAATTCCCAATTTCTTGGAATAAGATCTTGCTTTTATTTAAGTAACACACAATGTAAAATTTGATGTTATTGTACTGACTAGGTGGGGTAAGGGACCTGATGACAGGTAACAAGATTAGTAAGGTTCTGAAAAGGTCAGAATTGTACTGAATTATGTTTAGAACAGATTGCCTCCGTGATCATTTAATCAAACAGTGTTCGTATTGTCTTTGTCCTTGTCCACATACGTGATTTTTGAGGTTGGGCTGAGAAGGAAATCATGATTCCATCAACAACATAAGGCACATTGACAGTAAAACTCATATATTATAGCAGCTTTTTGTTTCATGCTGTGTAGGGCAGACAACCTTGAAGAAAAAAAAAACTTTAAAAAATAATGTAAAATTTCACAGTTTTTCAGTCACAAACAGAAGTATCCTTGTTGTCACTGAAGATGACAAGAATTAATATCCTGCTGTATAGAAGTACTTTGGCAAAGTTAAGGTTGTAGTTCCAATTCCTCATTTCCAATTTTTTCTCCAGATGGAAAGATGAACAGTTTTTGGTATTGAATTTTTTTTTAGGAAGCAAGTTATTTATCATTAGATATCTATTCAGTAAATGCAATGATACAGAAAAATGAAGTTTTTTTCCCTCAGATTTGAAATTAGGTTTTAAAATATGGAGGGAGAACAATTTGTAAGTAATGTTCAGGAACAAAAATAAAACCTAATGAAACTTTAGAAACTTTGATGGACATCTGTCATCCTACATACAATTGCATTAAAGAATAGAATTTATTATTATTTTATCTGGTTTATTATGCTGTAAAATGAATTTTTCTCTTTTTGTATGTAGTTTTATGAAATTTCATACATGTATAGATTCATGGAACCACTGTAAAAATCAGGATGTAGAACATTTGCATCACCCCCAAAAACTCCTTCATGCAGTCCCTTACTGGTCACCCTTTCTTTTTAGTAACCCTGGTAACTACCAATGTGTTCTCCATCCCTGTAGTTTTATCTTTTCAAGAATGTCATATAAATGGCGTCATACACTATGTAACCTTTGGGGACTGGCTGTCTTCAGCATAATGCCTTTGAGATTCATCCAAGTTGTTGCATGTGTCAAACATCCCTTTTTATTGTTGAATAGTATTTAATTGTGTGGGTGTACTATCATTTGTTTATCTCTTGACCCACTGAAGGCCAATTGGGTTGTTTTCTAGTTTGGGGCAATTATGAGCAGAGCTGCTATAAACCAAGTAGTGGAATTTTTAGGTCATATAGCATTTTATCTATTTTTTATTTAAAAATATATATTCAGGGTTTGTTTTTGACCCAGTTGAATTTCCTTCAGGTCATTTTTGGAACTCTTTCTTCCTATGTCTGATGTAACATTTCATCTTTCATCTTTGTCATTTTTTTATTCCCCCTTTTCTTCAGATTACTATAGGTATATTCTGGTATTGTAGCCCAGAATCTGTCCTGCTTTTATATTCCTCCAGCTTAATTATATGATCCATCTTCTTACGGTATCTACGGCTTGCTACAAGACTATTCTTTACTATTTGCAGAAGACGTTCAGATGTATCTTGCTATCCTTTTTTATTCAGTTGTGTATATCTTGTTCTCTATTTGGAGGCCTTTCCAAATAGATGTCTTGTTAACTCTTTAATCTTATCATGCTAGAAACAAACAAACAAACAAACAAAATTCCCTTGTATCTTTTCCCTTCTGCAGCTTCCTTATCATACTACAGGGTAATTTCTTTTCTTCACTGTCAGTCTTCCACCCTACATGCAAGCAATAATCAAATCTAGCATTTGCTGTTTGGTCATCACCACTCCTGTCACCAAAATTCTCATTCTGTTTAGATTCTGCTTGCCTCATTTATGTACCATTATTTGTTTCTCACTGACCTTCCAAGTGCATACTCCTTTTCATCCTAAAGCCAAGAATAAAATCATTTTATATAAAGAGCATTCTACTTTGCAGTTCATTTACTGATGTCCTCTGTTTCAGTAGGAAGGCCTAATTCTAGATTTCAGTCTGTCATGATAGTACTATAACTTCTGCTTCTCACATTAGGTAAATTTTATTATCCCTTTTATAGGACCTTGACTGCCTCTGGGCCTTCTGTTCAGTTGAACCCACATGCTTCTAACTTCTTAGCTATTAGACCCTCTCTTTCCCCTTTTATATGTCTTTGTTTTGGTACAGCTTCTCATACCCAAAAGCAGGTATACCTGTTAGTAAGGAGGATACAAGTTGTATTTGTAGGTGGTATGATTGTCTACCTAGGAAATTCAAAAGAGTCAGATTTTTTTAAAAACTTAGATATTATAAATAAGAGTAAAGTAGCCATATATAAAATAAATACATAAAAATATATTTCCTTCATACTTCTATACTGTTTCTGAAATATAATAGAAAAATCCCATCACAATTGCCACCAAAAAACATAGCTAGGAATCTTTATGAAGGAATGAAGGAATTTAAACAACAAAAACTATAAAACTTTATTGGGAAGCTGGGCCCAATGGCTCACGCCTGTAATCCTAGCACTTTGGGAAGCCAAGGTGGGAGGATCACTTAAGTCTAGGAGTTCAAGACCAGCCTGGGCAACATAGTGAGACCTTATCTCTAAAAATAAAAATAAAAATAAATTTTAAAACTTTACTGAGAGACGTAAAAGTGTTGAATAATTGGAGAGGCATTATTCTTCTAAAAAACCAAATATGCTATACAGATTTTAGTATTTCCTAAACTTAGATATTTAACCTAATTTCAGTCAGAGCTTGGGTTTTTGTCTGTTCTTTATTTTTTTATTTTTAATTGGTGGAGGTTATTCCCCCTCATAAGAATGATTCTGATGTTCATTTGGAAATACACATGGTTGGAAATAGCCAAGATAGTTATGAAAAAGAAGAATGTATAGAGGAGAAGAGCTTCTTCAATGTACTACTGTAAAGTTATGGAGATAAAAACATGAATGAATCCATTGAGCAGAGTAGACAGGCTGGTAATAACCTAGCATACATCAAAGTCCAAACCTTGGTATGATGGCAGCTCAGTCAACGAAGAAAGGAGGGATAATTTAGGGAACAATGCTGGGTCGGTTATTTGAAGAAGAATTAGTTGGCTTCTCACTTTACTTGTACCATACACAAAAATAAAACACCAGATAAAGAATTATATGTAAAGCAAAAATTTAAGAAAAGAAAATATGTGACCATCAGTGTCTGTAATGGGGAACAATTTTAAGGATAAAACTAATGAAAATATCATAAAAATAAAAATTGTGCTGGCTGTTTAGTAGAAACAGAAAACGCCTTCCACTTACCGAAAATATACCATAAATAGGCTGGGCACAGTGGCTCTCGCCTGTAATCTCAGCACTTTGGGAGGCCGAGGTGGGCAAATACCTGAGGTCTGGAGTTTGAGACCAGCCTGGCCAACGTGGTGAAACCCTGTCTCTACTAAAAATACAAAATTAGCCAGACTTGATGGTGCACGTCTGTAATCCCAGATGTGAGAGGCTGAGGCACGAGAATCGCTTGAACCTGGGAGGCGGAGGTTGCATGAGCAGAGATCATACCACTGCACTCCAGCCTGAACGACAGAGCGAAAGTCCATCTCAAAAAAATATATATACTTATATATATGCACACATGCCATAAAGAAAAGACAACTGGCAAACTAGAATAAAGTAGTTACAAGTATAATAATGGCCCTAATGTATAAATCATTTTTTAATCAATAGGAAAAGCTCTTGAATTTCAACAGAAAAGGGTATAGAAGACATATCAAATACTAATAAAATTACCAATGGTAAAAACATGATTTTTTAACAGCACCAGCCCCTTCAGTAATTAGATAAATGTGATTTAAAAACAACAGAAAGATACTATTGTCCATCTATCAAATTGAGAATTACTTTTAAAGTGTTTCTAATATTCATTACTTGTGGGAATATACCAAGATAGGCACTATCAGGTACTGTGCTGGGATTATAGATTGATAAAACCTTTCTGGAAAAGTGTTTCTACTTTTTCAAGTGTTCCTATTTCAAGGGCCTTAAAATACTTAACACACCTTTTAACCTAACAATTTGCCTTTAGCAAGTATTCATCTATATTGTCAAGCGTTTAAGTATAAAAGTGTTCATTGTAGGCTGGGTACAGTGGCTCACATTTGTAATCGCAGCACTTTGGGAGGTTGAGGCAGGAGGATCACTTGAGTCCTGGAGTTCAAGACCAGCCTGAGCAACATGGCAAAACCCCATCTCTACAAAAAAAAATAAAATATTTTCCAGGCGTGGTAGCACGCATCTGTAGTCCCAGCCACTCGGGAGGCTGAGGTGGGGGATTGCTTGAGCCCAGGAGTTTGAGGCTGCAGTGAGCTTTGATCGCACCACTGCACTCCAGCCTGGGCAACAGAGTGAGATCCTGTCTCTACAAAGAATGAAAAAAGAAAATGTTTATTGCAGCAACATATATAATACTAAAAACTTAGAAATAATTAAATATCTAACAGTAAGGAATGAATATGGAGTAGGAGAGTTAAACTGTGAAACCATTCATATGATTAAATATTATAGAGCTATTAAAAATCATATCATCGGCCAGGCGCGGTGGCTCACTCCTGTAATCCCAGCACTTTGGGAGGGCAAGGCAGGCGGATCACAAGGTCAGGAGATCGAGACCATCCTGGCTAACACGGTGAAACCCATCTCTACTAAAAAAAAAATACAAAAAAAAAATTAGCCGGGCATGGTGGTGGGCGCCTGTAGTCCCAGCTACTCGGGAGTCTGAGGCAGGAGAATGGCATGAACCCGGGAGGCGGAGCTTGCAGTGAGCCAAGATCACGCCACTGCACTCCAGCCTGGGCAACAGAGTGAGACTCCGTCTCAAAAAAAAAAAAAATATATATATATATATATTGTATAGGGATGGGAAAGGGTTTAAAATAATACCTGTACTGAAAAACAGGATGCAAGGTATTACATAGCTCCATTTTGGCTGAGTTTGAGATGATTGTGATTTCTTTATTTTTTGCTATTTTCCCACATTTTTTATAATTATATATTTTGCAATTGGAAGCAAAAATAACCATTGAAAATCGTTTTCAAAGAATAATATTCAAGAGAATACAAGGTGCAGTAAGTTCTTAATATTTAGTTAAAATATAGAAATCTGTGGACCATTAACAGCACTTATCTTTAGGTAATGTAATGATGTTTTATAGATGGGTCTTTATTGATGGGATGTCACTATGTTGCCCAGGCTGGTCTTGAACTCCTGGCCTGAAGCAGTCTTCCCACCTCTGCTTTCCAAGTAGCTGGGATTACAGGCACAAGCCATGGCAAATGTAGTATATTTTAATTTATGTTTTTAGTGATGGAATCTCACTGTGTTGCCCAGGCTGGACTCCAGCTCCTGGGCTCAAGGATTCCTCCAGCCTCAGCCTCCAGAGTAGCTGGGACTATAGGCACGTACCACTCTGCCCAGCTTTATTTTTACACTTTATTTGTTTTACAACTTTTGCTCTGTTAACAAATCTACTACTCCTTTAAAAAGTTAAAAAACATTCTCTTATTAAAACAAAGATTAGGCTGGGCATGGTGGCTCACGCCTGTAATCCCAGCACTTTGGGAGGCTGCGCTGAGTGAATCACCTGAGGTCAGGAGTTCGAGACCAGCCTGGCAAACATGGTGAAACCCCGTCTCTACTAAAAATACAAAAATTAGCCAGGAGTGGTAGCACATGCCTACAATCCCAGCTACTCAGGAAGCTGAGACAGGAGAATCACTTGAACCCGGGAGGCAGAGGTTGCAGTGAGCTAAGATTGCGTCATTGCACTCCAGCCTGGGCAGCAGAGCAAGACTTCATCTCAAACAAACAAACAAACAAAACAACGATTATATCCTTATCGGAGATTTAATGGATACTAACCATATTTAATCCTCAGTCTCATTATGCTCATTTAATTTTTATTATCCGTATGTTGTCATATTTAGGTTATGTTCATTTTTTACCAGTTTTGTTAATCCCTAGTATTTTTTGTTTTTGAGACGGAGTCTCACTCTGTCGCCCAGGCTGGAGTGCAGTGGTGCAGTCTCGGCTCACTGCAACCTCTGCCTCCTGGGTTCAGGTGATTTTCCTGCCTCAGCCTCCAGAGTAGCTGGGATTACAGGCACCTGCCACCACACCCAGCTAATTTTTGTATTTTTAGTAGAGATAGGGTTTCACCATGTTGGCCAGGCTGGTCTCGAACTCCTGACCTAAGTTGATCCATCCTCCTCTGCCTCCCAAAGTGCTGGGATTACAGGCAGGAGCCACCGCACCCGGCCGTGTTTTTTGTTTATAAAAGAAAAAATTTCCAGAGTGCACTTTACTCCCTGATAGGAGACTAAATTACTTAAATATAAATTTTAGAAGGTACGTGTTAAATTAACCTAATGAATTAGTAGCATTCAGAAGTGTTTGTATCTGTTAAAGATTCAAAATATACAAACTAATTTCTTTTAATGGTGATTCTATTTCTAGTAAACTAAGGCAGAAATCATTATGCAGAAGAAACAGCACCCTGTTAACCATGTTCTTTTTATAAACCGTCTCTGTTCTCACTTTATTGTTAGGAAGGCGTAATCTGTTTTCATGTAATATAAGTACATGTGAGTCATGTTGAGTTTCTTCACTCATTTGTCCAATTCCCAGTCAACCTGTAGGTGGAGTTAACCTTTAGTTACATAATATAACGAAACAAACATTAAACCTACTGCTTCTGGGACAGTCTTCTCACCAAAACTCAGGGAAAATGGGAGGGTGTTGCCACTGACTGACTTAATGAAAGTATCTGACAAATGTAAGGTCTTTCAAATAGTGAGATAAGAAATGTATATAAATTATTTGATCGACTACTTACTTTCTATCTATACACACACACTATCAGTATATAATGTGTATTTTCATTTTATAGCTATTAAATATGAGGTTCTAGAATGAGTTTTCAGTTTGCAGAATTCTGAGAATCTAGTTCCAACACCTTTGAGAGGACAACAACCACAATTGCACTTGCCATATTTATTAGTCAAAATGAAGCGAAGTCAATCTGTTGAAAGCTTTGTTTTGTTTTTCTGATTAGTTTGTTTAATAAGACATTCAAATTATGATCTTTAATATAATTTCTTCCCCTAATAGCTTGGTGCTAACAGTGGTTTGCACATCATCATCTTTGATGAAATTGATGCCATCTGCAAGCAGAGAGGGAGCATGGCTGGTAGCACGGGAGTTCATGACACTGTTGTCAACCAGTTGCTGTCCAAAATTGATGGCGTGGAGCAGCTAAACAACATCCTAGTCATTGGTATGTTTACTTTTTAAAAAAGTACTATTCATTCAAAAACGTTAGCCATAAGTTCTGAATTAAGATGTGTGTAGGTTGTGATTAAACTGTTTTGCCAGTGTTTCCAAATTAGAATCCAGTGATATTGAAGAATCTATTGTAATGCCTAGGCTTAATAGGAAAAATAAAAGATGGATTTCAGTCACTTGTAGGTTTAAGCTTATAGCTCACCCACAGGTGAAAAAGATGTAGGTTGAAGCTTATAGCTCACCCAAAAATGAAAAATACACATGAAACAATGGAATGCAGTGGTTTTCAAACTGGGTCTTGCAGGCCTTCGGGGGTCCTCAGAGGTGCTTTCAGGGTCAGTGAGGGCCAGGGAGTGCGTTTCAGATCCTACATCACTATTATAACTTCCTCTTTTAGCTGTTTTATGTACTGAGGTGCTTCTGAAGATGACTTCTGGGGGAAAAAAAAAAAAAACACCCTGCTGTTTTATGAAGTCTGAAAACCACTGGCCTGTAAAAAAGAGAAGGAACTTTGGAGTCAGAGAGATCGTGTCACATTGCCCCTCTGTCACTTTGACAGATTATTTACCCTTTGAATCTTAAATTTTCTTTTTAAATACTGGAAGTTTTCATAACATTTATATTCCATTGGCTTATACAGTAGTGAAATAGTAAAGCAAAGTCTCCTTAGCTTGTTAGGGAAATTACTATTCTTACATATACTAAAAGGACATTTGATTTTATTTTTGAACTCTGATCATTTGTTGTTTTGTTTTAACATCTGTGTTCAGGAATGACCAATAGACCAGATCTGATAGATGAGGCTCTTCTTAGACCTGGAAGACTGGAAGTTAAAATGGAGATAGGTAAGGAGATCTGTCACTGATTGGGTGTGTGGTGGGGGGAGTGGAGGCATTTAGAGTTCATTAACAGGAACAATGTCATATGGTGTAGTATTTTTTAGAAAAGGTTTATATCATGAGAAGTAGATGTTTACATGCTTGAGTACCTATAAGGAAAACATTAGGATCATAATAATCTCCTCTAGGCTGGGCGCAGTGGCTCACACCTGTAATCCCAGCACTTTGGGAGGCTGAGGCAGGTGGATCACTTGAGGCCAGTTGTTCGAGACCAGCCTGGCCAAGATGGTGAAACCCCTTCTCTACTAAAAATACAAAAAACTTAGCCGAGTGTGGTGGTGTGCACCTGTAATTCCAGCTACTCGGAAGGCTGAGATAGGAGAATCGCCTGAATCCAGGAGGCAGAGGTTGCAGTGAGCTGAGATCGTACCACTGCACTCCAGCCTGGGAAACAGAGCGAGACTCTGTCTCAAAATAATAGTAATAATAATAATGATAATCTCCTCTGATGGTGCTTTCGAGACTAGGAAAATGCCTATTTTATTTTTAATTTCATCAGGCTTGCCAGATGAGAAAGGCCGACTACAGATTCTTCACATCCACACAGCAAGAATGAGAGGGCATCAGTTACTCTCTGCTGATGTAGACATTAAAGAACTGGCCGTGGAGACCAAGAATTTCAGTGGTGCTGAATTGGAGGGTCTGGTGCGAGCAGCCCAGTCCACTGCTATGAATAGACACATAAAGGTCAGGAAAATCAGCTAAACAGATTATAAACATTATGCCAGTATTCTTTCTCTTTCCTTTCAAGCATATCAAGGGGTAGGGAAATGCTGACTTTTGGTGGAGAAGAGATGGTAAAAGGAATAAGAATTAATTGTCAACTGCTAAATCTTCAGAGTAGCAGGAAGGAAGATAATGTTTGCATCTGCCCTGTAGTAACCACTGACTCATCTACCTTAGGTCATCACCATCTGACACAGACACGTAAAGTGAAAATTTTGAAGAAGTGTTTTTAAATCTTTGTATTGTATTAAAAGTTGTAATATGGCCAGGCATGGTGGCTCATGCCTGTAATCCCAGCACTTTGGGAGGCTGAGGCGGGCGGATCACAAGGTCAGGAGATCGAGACCATCCTGGCTAACACGGTGAAACCCCGTCTCCACTAAAAATACAAAAAATTAGCCGGGCATGGTGGCGGGCACCTGTAGTCCCGGCTACTCGGGAGGCTGAGGCAAGAGAATGGTGTGAACCCAGGAGGCAGAGCTTGAAGTGAGCTGAGATTGCGCCACTGCACTCCAGCCTGGGTGACAGAGCGAGATTCCGTCTCCAAAAAAAAAAAAAAAGTTGTAATATGTCAGAGGAAGTGGGAGTTTCCACGTACTAGAATTTTGGGGGCTGCTTTATTCAGCAAATATATTGAATAGTTGATGTGTTCAAGCTATTGGGCTGGAGACATAAAGATAATTGTGAACTCTTCCCTCAAGGAGTTCAGAGTCAGGAAAATGGACATATTTTCAAATTAGTACAATAATATTGTAGTTACCATGGTAGAAATACGTACTAGGATACTTTTATTTTGATAAAGTGCTCTTGATCTTCCATCTCTTCTCTCCTTTAGGTTTTAGTTACCACCTGTAGACAGATTTACTGAACATATCTGTCTCCTACTTTCAGATTTGTACTAAATACCCTCACCTAGATGTTTTATCAGGTCTCAGATTTAATATTGCAAAACCAAATTTATTGTCTTTTTTACTACTTTCCTTTCTGCTCGCATTTCCCTGTTTATCCCAATTTCCCAGGCTTAAAACATCAGGATTATCTTTGATTCCTGGCACTCTACTGTGCCCTAGGTCAAGTCACTTGCCAAATTTTTTCAGTTCTGTCTTGGCAGTGCCTTTTAGTTCTCACTGCCACTACCCACCTTCTCTTTGATTAACCTTCCTGTATCATATCATTCAACCATTCAGACACTTTCAGTGATTCCCCATCATTTACAAAACAAAGTACAGGCTTCTTTTGGGTCTTTTGGGTCCTCTAGATCTGACCCTAACTGGCCTTTCCAAATGTGCTCCTGATTATTCTCCACATACTTCAGCCAAACTTAAATAATCACCGGTCATCAGACATTAATTTATTTTTCAACATCTCTGCTTTGGTTTTGTTTTTTTTGCATCACTGAGGATCTTCATCCTCTACGTTTACCTGTCTTTTCAAAACCTGGCTCATATGCTACCACTGTCCTCACACCTTTTCACATTTTCCCTTTCAAGAATGTTATACCCGTTTCCTTCTTGAAATAGTAATGTATCATTTATGGTACTGTCAGTTGACTTTGGTTCACAGTAGATTTATTCGGCATCTACTGCATGCTAGACCCTGTGCTAGGAGTTAATACCCCGACTGCAAAGAAGTAAAGTACCTACCATTAAGCTGCCCTCAGTCTAACCCTCCACGTGCAGTAACAGAAAGTACATGCAAGGCAAGAGAGTGAACTCATGTCAGATATGGTCAACTTGTGGGGTGAGAGAAACCTTCATATGCATGTCTGTTGGTAGAGCAGGGCCTTTTAGGTAGAGGGAACAACATATGCAAAGAAGCAGAGACACAGAATAGCATAGTGCGTTGGAGTAGTTTAGTATTGCTTCAGCATGGAAGTTAGGGGAGGGATGGTAGAGAGATTGTGGGGGATAAGTCAGGAGACTAAAGTAGGGATGGAGCACAAAGAGCCTTTTATACTCTGCTAAGAAGTATGGACTTTTTTTCTGTGAGTAGTGCTAAGCCATTGAGTTTTAAGAATAGCAGTGACATAGTGTTAAAACATAAGATCACTCTGGCAGCTCTGTCGAGTGGAGTAGTTAGAGGAGTGGAGTTGGCGACACAGGACAAGAGGGGGAGCTTTTATAACAGTTCAGGCAAGAAATAAAAGCCTGAACAGTTAGGTTGAGTATGTAGATATTTGGGTATATCCTATCACTGGTTCTAGACCAGGAATCCAGCCAACTACCAGTTTTTATAAATAAAGGGCTTTTTTGGAACAGTACACATTAATTTGTGTACTGTCTATGGCTGCCTGCATGCTACAGTGGCAGAGTTGAGTATTTGCAATAGGGGCTGCATGGCCCACAAAGCCTATTTTAGTGCTTTTATTTTAGGTACTATCTGCCACTTTACAGAAGTTTGCTGGCCCTTGTTCTAGACTTTAAATCCTTATCTTATTCACCTCAGAGTCTCCCATAGTACCCCAGATAGATCTAAATAATGAGCACATGGTAGGTGTCCAGTAAATTATTTTTCTTTTTTTTTTTTGAAACAGAGTCTTACTCTGTCGCCCAGGCTGGAGTGCAGTGGCACAGTCTTCGCTCACTGCAACCTCTGCCTCCTGGGTTCAAGTGATTCTCCTGCCTCAGCCTCCCAAGTAGCTGGGACTACAGGCATGTGCCACCACGCCCAGCTAATTTTTTGTATCTTTAGTAGAGATGGGTTTTCACCATGTTGGCCAGGCTGGTCTCAAACCCCTGACCTCGTGATCCGCCCGCCTCAGCCTCCCAAAATGTTGGGATTACAGGTGTGAGCCACCATGCCCAGCCAATATTTTTTAAATGAGTAAACTTACGTAACTATTCTGAATCACGCTCTATCCATAAGTCATAATTTCCCTACATAATAGAGGTGGATTTGTTCTAGCTCAAGAATGCCAAAGGTTTGGATGGTGTGGGAATATTGTATTGGGTCTTTATATAATGGATCCATTCAGGGACTATGTTTTTATTCTTCCTTGTTTGTTTGTTTTGAGACGGAGTCTCACTCTGTCGCCCAGGCTGGAGTGCAGTGGTGCAATCTCGGCTCACTGCAAGCTCCACCTTCCAGGTTCAGCCATTCTCCTGCCTCAGCCTCCCAAGTAGCTGGGACTACAGGCACCCACCATCACGCCTGGCTAAGTTTTTGTATTTTTAGTTGAGATGGGATCACCGTGTTAGCCAGGATGGTCTCGATCTCCTGACCTCGTGATCCGCCTGCCTCGGCCTCCCAAAGTTTTGGGATTACAGGCGTGAGCCACCATGCCCGGCCATGCTATACTGTTTTAATAAGAAGAGATGGCAACTTCAAGAAAAATGATGTAAACAGTGTGAAAACTGGTCCCTACCATACTGATCTTTCATCTCAGACCACATGGGTGCATCTTGATGTAATCCACAGTAACTAGTTTACTAGTTGTCATATTTTTCATATGTGTTGGCCATGGAATTTTTCTCTTATTTAGTCATCTGTCATTTTAACTACAATAATCCTATCCCAAAATTTCACTTTAAGCCGTTGTCTCAGTAAGAAACATGCTTTCTTCAAGCATATATTGGGTTTATCTACATATGAGGCAATGAGGGATGGTGGGAAGATCGCAGATATCGTAGTCAGAAGGTGTGGTTATGCATTATATTTCTTCCACCTTTTTGTTTCTGACCTGTCAAGGGGAGACACTACCTATCTAATCAGATTTTTATGAGAATGAAAGCAAATACTTTATATAAAAGTGCCTTGTAAACTCTATAAATGCTAGTTATCTCCATTTTTTTAATTGGCTGATTTGAGAGGATATCAGTACTTTTCAATATATGAATTTCTGATTTTTATTGACTCTTTGTAGTTACACATTTTCTAATTGTAAAGCTAAAATGTTTGTCACCCTTGTACATAATATATTATCCTTCTGATTTGCAAGTAAGCAGTAGTGCAAATAGTTCATGTTTCCATCACTTTTTTCCACATGATAGAATTATCTGTAAGCTTCAGGTGATATGTATTGACTTGCGATCATTGCTCCTTGTACCAAACAGCTCCTAACTTTTCACCATATCAATGGAATAACTATGTAGGCACTTTAGGGATGAGAAAGCTATGTAAGACACTAACCTTACCCCCAAAAAGAAATATTACTAACATTTCATCTTCTGCATTTTAAAAAATCTGCATTGTCAGAAGGTCTTTAAAGACTATTTTTCCAATGACTCGTCCTTGGCTAAACAAAAGAAGTACAGTTTTAGTCTTCCATTGCTATAGATGTTTGTAGCTTTAATAGTGATTGATGAATAAATATTTAAATTGAAACTTATAAAGTTGTTACTGAACTTTAAAACATTCAAAACGTACAAGTGTTATGATGTTCTTTCTTTGTATTTTAAAAATCCATTATTGGTGTTATTTTGCTTCCTTTTCAAAAGATTGAGGCCTAAAGAAAGATTTAGTCAGGTGGACTAAACAGGTCTTTCCTGTTAAACTGTTTTTTCAGGTTTTCTGAGACAAGTGGAAAATCTGGTCAGAAACACCTGTTGTTCATGTCATTTATACTTGAACCTATGATTGCGGTCAACTAAAATTCATGTGACATTTGGTTGTTTTTATCTTGAAAGGAATTTCTGCTTCAGGTTGAGAAGATTCATAACCCAAATTTTTTCTCTAATCTGTTGTGAGGAAATAAACTGAGGACACACACACACACACACACACACACTTTCTCTCACATACACTTTCCACCTGAGTCAAAGCTCTAAGTTATGTTTACAGAATTTCATAAAATTATTTCTTATTTTTTTGCAGAATTTTTGATTGATTAAGGTCATTCTACCCTTAATTTAAGAGGAATGATAAGAACTTTGAAAGGTCAGATTTAAAAGGTTATGAAATTTAAGGGTGACCACTTGATATTTGCTAGTGTTGAAATACAAGTTTATTAGTTTCTGCAGGTATAAGCTGAAAGATGCTGCCTCTTCTATATTGATTAGCTGTTATAAATAAAATGCAGGAAAAATGTTGCTAATTCAAACAAATGAGAAAAGGTTTTCTGAAAAAGTAAAAATTCAGAATTATAGACTTTTTAAAATTTTACAAATTTTGATAAAATGCTAAAAGTCAGCTAAGAGCAGTCCTTAGAAAATTTATTTTAATGAGCAGGTAGGAATAATTGACAATTGGAATATTGATGGCTTACAATTATGTAACTTACAGAATTCCTTATGTGCCTGAAAACAGTTTGTTTTGAAATACTTCTTCCCCACACCCATCTTAATTCACTTTTAAGAAAGGACTCAGCAATTAATTGGGTGAGTCTTTTCTTAATAATTAGCAAAATGACAAGTTTTATACCAGCTTCAGTCCTAAAATCTATCGTATTTTTTGGCAAATTTTGAAAGATGGGCAAGATTTTTCTTTCATACTGCTGTATGTATCTATCATTTGAATTCGGTTTTACTGTAAGAGAATCAGAATGCAAAATATTATGGTAAAAACCTAGGCCTGTGTAGGAAAGAGGTGTTTAAAGTGAGGCTGGTAGCTTTGTTGAGATTTTAATGTTTCGGTCAGAGCTCTTGTCTTCCCTTTGGCCTGAGAGTTTGTATCTTGTAGAATCCTTTCAGATGTATCAAAAAGTTTGAATCAGAGTTAAAACTTTTATATAAGGGTATCTAGGAAGGAAGTCCTGTATCTGCCTTTTATAACTTATGGAAACCCCCAGGTTTGTATAAGTATAAAATGAGATAATGTGATATGGTGAAATGAGATAGTGTGTATGAACATACTTTATAAACTATAAAGAACTGTAGACATTTGTATATTATTAATTATCATAATTCTTTCACGGATATGCTTGTTTCCTGTGACACCATTTTTCTTTTTTTCTTTTTTTTTTTTTTGGAGATGGAGTTTTCTTCTTGTTGCCTAGGCTAGAGTGCAATGGCGTGATCTCGGCTCACCACAACCTCCGCCTCTCGAGTTCAAGCGATTCCCCTGCCTCAGCCTCCAGAGTAGCTGGGATTACAGGTGTCCACCACCATGCCTGGCTAATTTTGTATTTTTAGTAGAGACAGGGTTTCGCCATGTAGGTCAGGCTGGTCTCGAACTCCCGACCTCAGGTGATCCGCCTGCCTCGGCCTCCCAAAGTGCTGGGATTATAGGTGTGAGCCACCGTGCCAGGCCCATTTTTCTTTTTTTAAACTTAGAAATGCCAAATAAATGCGATTAATATTTATCAAACCTCATATGTGCCAATATAAGCCCTATTAATAATTTAAATGTTTATGTTTTTTTGTTTGTTTGTTTTTGTTTTTGAGACGGAGTCTCACTCTGTCGCCCAGGCTGGAGTGCAGTGGCGCCATCACAACTCACTGCAAGCTCTGCCTCCCGGGTTCACGCCATTCTCCTGCCTCAGCCTCCTGAGTACCTGGGGCTACAGGTGTCTGCCACCACGCCTGGCTACTTTTTTGTATTTTTAGTAAAGACAGGGTTTCACTGTGTTAGCCAGTATGGTCTCGATCTCCTGACCTGGTGATCCTATTGCCTCAGCCTCCCAAAGTGCTGGGATTATAGGCGTGAGCCACCATGCCCAGCCCAATAATTTAAATGTTAATTGTTCTATTGAAGTAAAATATTTGTCTCTTTGTTACTTTTTACTTTATTTTTAAAAGTATAGAAGTTATAGATGATGGCTTTCTTTTTGTAAAAGATTCAAGAATGTCAAAGCATATAGGGAAAAATGAGAAAGGCCATCTCTAACACCACTTTCCTTTCCCTCTCCAGAGTTAGCCAAAATTTGGGATATATCTTTGAAGTTTGTTTTCTTTATATAATATTTACATTCATATACGTATGTGCTTTTTTAAAAAAATGAACATTAATGGAATTATACTGCAGTTTACATTTTTCACTTGCAAATATTCCTTGGATAGCTTTCTGTGTCAGTGTATGTAAGTCCCCTTCATTATTTTGGACAAATGCAGAGTATTCTAGAATATTGCCACATAATGGAAAATATAAGATCCATGAACACAGGGACCTTTTCTGTTTTATTTACTGCTATGACTCCAGTTCCTCAGATAGTGCTTGGTGTCTGGTAGGTATTCAGTAAATAGAATTAATGAATAATTTATTTAACATATGGATTATTTCTGGTTGTGGCTGTTGAAAAAATACTGTTGTGAAAATGCTTACTTGCCTCCCTGTGCACACAAGGAATCATTTTCTAGGGTAGCCATCCAAATGTCTTTTCAAAGACATGGTTTCATTGTCTTCTAGTTTCTAGTGTTGCCAGTGAGAGTTATCATACCAATCTCGTTCTGGTTTCTTTGCAGGAAACCTGTTTTGTCCCTCAGAAAGGTTCTAGGACTTTCTCTTCACCTTTGGTGCTCTGAAAGTTTACAGCAGTGGGTCTGGACAGATGTGTGCTTCTTTTCATTTATCCCGATCATCACTCACTGAACCCTTTAAACTGCAGAGGCACACCTTTCTTCAGCTATAGGAAATTTTTTTCTCTTCTGTCTTTTATTGTTTCTTCTCTATGACTCTTTCTGTTCTCTCCTTCTGAGACTCCTGTTAGATCACAGTTAAAACTTATGGATATTTCTTTCATGCTTTGTAGCCTTTCTGTCTCACTTTCTGTCATTTTGTGGGATTTGGGGCGGAAGGGAAGATAAATAACTGTGTTCTGTTTGCCATCTTCACCCAGCTTCCTGCCATAGTTCTTTTTATCCCACAAGGATGACTTTTTTTTATATCTGTCACTTCATTTGTCTCACAGTCTCTTCCTAAAAAAAATATGACTCATATTTCATAATAATTGATGGAAGGTTGATATTTATTTAACATGCGTTTGTTTTATAGTCAGCTTTTTTTGAAAATGCTTTTTTTTTCAAAGCCATGATACCAATTTAAAAATTAGGCTGTGTTGTTTTGTGCTATTGGTAGTGAGCCCAGTCGCTTTAAAACACGTGTTGGTATCTTAATCACTCATCTGGTCCAGGCAGCTCCAAGTGCTGATAAAGGCCTTGATGCTTCTCCAGATGTCTAAATGCTAGCTCCAGGTGCAGTAAGCAGACTATTTGGAGCTGGCACATAGATTCTGAAGCACAATGTATTAATACAAATGAAAGTTTTAGGTTCTTGGTCTCCTAGAGTAATGGTTCTTAAGCCTGGTTCAGTACCAGAATCACCTGTGGTACTTGGTAAAACTATAAAGACCCTCTAATAGGCCTGTTAAATCAAAATCCCGTGGGGAATGGGACTGAGCGCCTGTATATCTCTGAAGGCTCTGGAGGTTATTCTGATATGCAGCCAAGTATGGCTGTGTTTTCATTTCTGTATATATTTTCTTTTTGTATGGATTTTTCACTGTTCTTACTCTCTGTATGTATTTTTTCTTACTCATGCCTCATGAGTTAAAATGGCTATACAGTGTCCCTTGGTACAGATGTGTTCTAATTTACATAACTGATCCCCTCTTGGTAGACATTATTAATATGCTTCCCATCTTTTTTCATAACAAGTTACTTTAGTAGATATACTTGTACATATAACTTTGTACACATTTGTGAATATATTTAGGGGATAAATTACTAGAAGTGGACTTGTTCAGAGGATATATATATTTGTGAATTTGAGAGATGTGTTTTCTTTGATTCCAATTTTTAAAATTGTTTTAAAATGCCCATAAAATTGTCCGGGCGTGGTGGCTCACGCCTGTAATCCCAGCACTTTGAGAGGCCGAGGCGGGTGGTCACAAGGTCAGGAGATCAAGACCATCCTAGCTAATATGGTGAAACCCTGTCTCTAGTAAAAATACAAAAAATTAGCCGGGCGTGGTGGTGGGCACCTGTAGTCCCAGCTACTCGGGAGGCTGAGGCAGGAGAATGGCATGAACCTGGGAGGTGGAGCTTGCAGCGTCCGAGATCGCGCCACTGCACTCCAGCCTGGGGGACACAGTGAGACTCCGTCTCAAAAAAAAAAAAAAAAAAAAAAAACAAAAAACAGAAAACCATAAAATTTACCGTGTAACCATTTTAAATGTACAATTCAGTGGCATTAAATACATTCTTAATGTTGTGCAACCATCACTACCATTCATCTCCAGACCTCTTTTCATCTTGTAAAACTAAAACTCCATACCCATAAACAGTAACTCCCCATTCCTTCCTCTCCCTATCCCCTGGCAGCCACCATTTTACTTTCTGTCTCTTGGATATCAGCTACTCCAGGAACCTCATATAAGTGGATTGTACAGTATTTGCTTATTTAACTTAGCATATGGTCCTCAAGGTTCGTCATGTTGCAGGATATCAGAATTTTCTTTCTTTTTAATGCTGAATAATATTCCATTGTATGTACGTAACACATTTTGTTTATCCATTCCTCTGTCAATGGTCATATGGATTTCTTCCACATTTTAGCTATTGTGGGTAATGCTGTCATGAACAAGGCTGTACAGATATCTCTTCAAGACCCTGTTTTCAGTTCTTTGGGGGTATATACCCAGAAGTGGAATTGCTGGATCATATGATAATTCTATTTTTAATTTTATGAGGAACCACCATATTTTTGTTTTCCACAGTGACTCAACCATTTTACTTATGTTCCCACCAACAGTGCATAAGGGTTCTGATTTCTCCGCATCCTCACCAACACTTCTTATTTTCTGCATTTTTGTGGTAGTAGCCATCCTAATGAGTATGAAGTGAAATCTCTTTGTAGTTTGGATTTGCATTTCCCTAATGATTAGTGAGGTTGAACATCTTTTCATGTGCTTATTTAAGGCCATTTGTATATCTTCTTTGGAGAAATGTTTGTTTAAGTTCTTTGCCCATTTTTTATTTAGTTTTTTGTTGTTCAATTTTGGCAGTTCTCTATGTATTCTGGATATTAATCCCTTATCACATATATGGTTTGCAAATATTTCAGATTTTTTTATGTGTGAAAATATGCTTTTAAATCCTCAAGAGTTACGTTCTTAAACTGAATATATTCTTAACTATTCTTAAATCTTGGAAGTCCTTACATTTTGTTTTTATCTCTTCTTAGGCCAGTACTAAAGTGGAAGTGGACATGGAGAAAGCAGAAAGCCTGCAAGTGACGAGAGGAGACTTCCTTGCTTCTTTGGAGAATGATATCAAACCAGTGAGTATGCCCATTGAGTGATATATAGGCCAAAAAGTAATGATAATAATAACTCAGGCGAAAAGTAAGTGCCATTTACTCAGTATTATGGAAGGTTATAGCATATGCAGTTTCATAAAATGAGAAAATTTTAGTATTGGAAATGTTCAGTATGAGAAACATCTGTACAATAATCCTAGTGGCTGGTGATATTATTTACTGAAATATTTTCATGATAGGAAGCTTACCATCTTGTAAGGCAGGCCATTCAATTTTGAGACTTTCCAGTTATTGTTTTACTTTATATTGAACTAGAACTAATTTTCTTATTGGTTCTTATACAATCCCAAGCTACAGAAACCTAACTTCAGTCCATCTTCCATATGTCAGTTATTAGGATATTTAAAATTAACTCTCATATCCTCCTCTGTCTCTCTCTCTCTCTCTCTTTCTCTTCCTTTCCTCAGCCTCTTCCAAGGCATCCCTTTTTCTTGCTCAGTACATTTAGTTTCTCTGACTACTATAGTTTCTAAGACTTAAAAAGTGTCAGTTTTCTTAAAACGCACTCAAAATGGTCATAGTTGGAGCTTTAGAATACAGTTTAAGGTTATTAACCCATTTTCCTATAAAACAACTACTAACATTTGAGTAACTTTTGTTTAGAGTCCTGTGTTAATACAAAAACAAATTGTAGAAAGTCCCAGTTCTTAAAGAAGTGTGTGCTTTTCTTTCTTAAATGGACCTCAGGTCCATTAAGATTAATCTTAATCTTTATGACACACTGTTATTAGTCTGTATTTTCATGGCATGTAAAATAACATATGGTATATGTAGTTTTCTGGGACTTGCTATTTATTAAATATTTTATTACCAAGAGTCATCTATATCAGGGATCCCCAACCCTCAGTACTGGTCCATGGCCCGTTAGGAACTGGGCCACACAGCAGGAGGTGAGCAGCAAGTGAGTGAGCCTCATCTGTATTTACAGCCACTCCCTATTGCTCGTGTTACCACCTGAGCTCCACCTCCTGTCAGATCTGTGGTGACATTAGATTCTCATATGAGTATGAACCCTATTGTGAACTGCATATCTGAGGGATCTAGATTGCACACTCCTTATGAGAATCTAATGCCTGATGATCTGTCACTGTCTCCCATCACCCCCAGATGGGACCATATAGTTGCAGGAAAACAAGCTCAGGGCTCCCACTGATGCTACATTATGGTGAGTTGTATAATTAGTTCATTATATATTACAATGTAATAATAATAGAAATAAAGTGCACAATAAATGTAATGTGCTTGGGCTGGGCATGGTGGCTCGTGTCTGTAATCCTAGCACTTTGGGAGGCTGAGGCGGGCGGATCACGAGGTCAGGAGTTCGAGACCAGCCTGACCAACATGGTGAAACCCCATCTCTACTAAAAATACAAAAATTAGCTGGATGTAGTGGTACGTGCCTGTAATCCCAGCTACTCACGAGGCTGAGGCAGGAGAATCGCTTGAACCCAGGAGGCAGAGGTTGCAGTGAGCCAAGATCGCACCACTGCACTCCAGCCTGGGTGACAGAACGAGACTCTGTCTCAAAAAAAAAAAAAAATGTAACGCACTTGAAACATCCCGAAACCACCTCCTCCCCCAATGGAAAAATTATCTTCTATAAAACTGGTCCCCGATGCCACAAAGGTTGGGGACTGCTGATGTATATGATTTCTTGTAGCTAGACATCATTCATTTTCATGCTGAATAGCATTCCATTGTGTGAGTACCACAATTTATCTATTTTCCTGTCAATTGTGAATGTTACCAGTATTTTGTTATTAAAAAAAGATTTGTCGTAAGAATTCTTGAATGAATTTCTCTTATTTAGGAATAAAATTATTAGGTTGTTGGATATATGAATGTCCCGCTTTAAAAAAACATTTCCCAGTGGTTGAACCAACACTGCCCCCAATACTGTGAAACATATCCTCTTGTTCTGTATCCTCTCCAACACTTGGTATTATCAGATTTATTTTTTATTTATTTATTTTTTTTGAGATGGAGTCTCACTCTGTCGCCCAGGTTGGAGTGCAGTGGTGTGATCTCAGCTCACTGCAACCTCCATCTCCCGGGTTCAAGCAATTATCCTGCCTCAGCCTCCCGAGTAGCTGGGATTACAGGTGCTTGCCACCATGCTTGGCCGATTTTTGTATTTTTAGTAGAGACGGGGTTTCACCATGTTGGCTAGGCTGGTCTCGAACTCCTGACCTCAGGTGATCTGCCTGCCTCGGCTTTCCAAAGTACTGGGATTACAGGCGTGAGCCACTGCACCCAGCCTCAGATTTAATTTTTGCCATTCAGTTAGGTGTAAAATGAGATCTCATTTCAGTCTTGATTTGCATTTTAGTTATTAGAGAACTTAAGCATTTCTCCATATGTTAATTGACCATATGCATGTATTGTGTGAAATAGTGTCCAAGTCTTTTGCCTGTTTTTCTGTTGTACTGCTTATTTGATTGATACAAGTTCTTTATATACTCTTTTTTTCTCAATTTTGTATTGTGTTAAAATACATATAAAGTTTACCATTGTAATCATTTTCAAATGTATAGTTCAGTGGTATTAAGTATATTCATAATGTTGTATAATCATCACCACCATCCATCTCTAAAACTCTTTTCTTCTTCTTGAACTGAAACTCTATACCCATTAAATAATAACTCTTTTTTCCCTCCCCTACAACACCTGGCAGCCACCATTCTACTGTCCATCTTTATGAATTTCAGTAATCTTAAGTACCCATGTAAGTGGAATCATAGTATTTGTCTTTTTGTAACTAGCTTATTTGACGTAGCATAATGTCCTCAAGGGTCAACCATCTTGCAGCATGTCAGAATTTTCTTCCTTTTTAAGGCTGGATAATACTCCATTATATGGGCCAGGCGTGGTGGCTCTTGCCTGTAATCCCAGCACTTTTGGAGATTGAGGTGGGTGGGTCACCTGAAGTCAGGAGTTCAAAACTAGCCTGGCCAACATAGTGAAACCCCATCTCTACTAAAAAATACAAAAATTAGCCAGGAGTGGTGGCACACACCTGTAATCCCAGCTACTCGGGAGGCTGAGACATGAGAATCATTTGGATCCGGGAGGTGGAGGTTGCAGTGAGCCGAGATTGTGCCACTGCACGCCAGCCTGGTGACAGAGCAAGACCCTGTCTCAAAAAAAAAAAAAAAAAAAATCCATGATATGTACATACCACATGTTGTTATCCATTCCTCTGTCAATGGCAGCCAGGCTTCTGCCACGTTTTGGCTATTTTGAGTAATGCTGTCATTAGCATGGCTGTACAGATATCTCTTCAAGACCCTGTTTTTAGTTCTTTCGGGTATATACTCAGAAGTGGAATTGCTGGATCATATAGTAATTCTATTTTTAATTTTTTGAGGGACCACCATACCGTTTTCCACGGTGGCTGCACCATTTTACATTCCCACCAGTGGTGCACAAAAATTCTGACTTCTCCACATGCTCACCAACAAATTATTTTCTGTTTTTTTGGTAGTAGCCATCCTAATGAATATGAAGTGACATCTCATTCTAGTTTTGATTTGTATTTTCGTAATGATTAGTGGTGATAAGTATCTTTTCATATGCTTATCAACCATTTGTTACATATCCTTTTTTTTTTTTTTTTTTTTGAGACAGTCTTGCTCTGTCACCCAGGCTGGAGTGCAGTGGCACAATCTCGGCTCACTGCAACCTCTGCCTCCCAGGTTTAAGTGATTCTCCTGCCTCAGCCTCCCCAGTAGCTGGGATTGTAGGCACCCATCACCATGCCCGGCTAATTTTTTTGTATTTTTAGTGGAGACAGGGTTTCACCATGTTGGCCAGGCTGGTTTCAAACTCCTGACCTCAAGCGATCCACCTACCTCAGCCTCCCAGTGTGCTAGGATTATGGGCATGAGCCACTGCACTTGGCCACCATTTATTTTATATATATATATATATATTTTTTTTTTTTTTTTTTTTTGAGACTGAGTCTTGCTCTGTTGCCAGGCTGGAGTGCAGTGGCGCAATTTTGGCTTACTGCAACCTCCGCCTCCTGGGTTCAAGTGATTCTCCTGCCTCAGCTTCCTGAGTAGCTAGGACTGCAGGCATGCGCCACCATGCCCGACTAATTTTTGTATTTTTAGTAGAGACGAGGTTTCACTTTGTTGGCCAGGATGGTCTCAATCTCCTGACCTCGTGATCCACCCACCTTGGCCTCCCAAAGTGCTGGGATTACAGGCATGAGCCACTGCACCTGGCCTGTTATATATTCTTAACAATAATTATTTGTTCCAAGTATCTCCTTTAAAGACAAAAGCCAATTTGGTTAGCCCTGTCTTTTTATTACTATTGTGACTTTTAAATATAAAATAATCATTTTCAAAAGTAACTCCAAGATTTTTTTAACAACAAGTAATTTGGCCATGAGGAAGTGACAACTAAAAACTTAATTTTATTTATTCCAAGGGTCTGGAGGATAAAAAAAAAATGAAATTATGGGATATGTAAGGAAGATATACACGTTATATATCTTGGGAGAGTCACTGTTTTATGGTTCAGGCATCTTAAAGCTTCTGCTGTGAGGCTTGGAGTATATAACTGGAAAAATTAAAGACAAAAGCCAGCCTATAATTTTTTTTTTTTTTTAAATGAGATGGAGTCTTGCTGTGTCTCCCAGGCTGGAGTGCAGTGGCGTGATCTCGGCTCACTGCAACCTCCGCCTCCCGGGTTCAAGCAATTCTCCTACCTCAGCCTCCCAAGTAGCTGGGATTACAGGCACACACCACCACACCCAGCTAATTTTTGTATTTTTAGTATAGATGGGGTTTCACCACGTTGGCCAGGTTGGTCTGGAACTCCATACCTCAGGTGATCCACCCGCCTCAGCCTCCCAAAGTGCTGGGATTATAGGCTTGAGTCACTGCGCCCGGCCATGAAAATTTCTTAGAACAGCCATTTAGCCAGTTTGGATTAGTTTCATCATTACTTTTTACACTGCTACTGAATTTGCCATATCTAGGCCAAAGAATGAGAACCTTCCTCTGTATTCAGGAATCAAAGGACCAGTATATGCAAAGAGACTATCTAAAAAGTGGTCTGAAAAATTATTTTGTGGCAAAGTAATAGAGATATGAGATCACTGGATACTGTTTCAAAGACAGTATTACAAAAACAGCTTTATGTGAGGTGCATGTTCTAAAGAACTATTAAAACTATTCCATACATCAGGTAATCAAAAGTTGAATTTTGAGGGATGTGATGATCTTTAAAAAATTGAAATTCTCAAGATACATGATCTTTACATGTACATGATCTTTACATGTAGTAGGTTATGTTTTCCTATTTATTCTGTTAACCTCATGAAAATCCAGTTCAATTGTAAATACTAAAGTTATTGACTACTTTTGGCAGCTGTTTTGATGGGAGGTATAACCTTTGAGATTAAAAGTTGACAATGAAGAAGGGTGCAATTTAAGCTCCAATATGTAGTGAACACAAATAGAATTATTATCTGAAATAATTGCTTTTATATCCTTCTTATTACAGCTCCTCATTTCTATCTCATCCTAAATCTTATATTTACACATATAAACTTAACATTGGTGCCATTTAACTATGTCCCCTACCACAAAGTTGATGTGAACATGATCTTCTCATTACCATTTCGTATTCTCATGTTAATCCATAGCACCTGCAGTCAGTGTTAAGGTAGCATATTTGTCTATTGCGCTGTTTCTAAGTCCATAATCTCTTTTTTCCTTTGTTCTTAACAGAACAGCCTCAAACTGCATACTGTTGATAAAAATAAGCACATTGGAACATATTCTTTCTCTCAGGAATTATGAGGGTTTGAGTCTGGTGGAATCTCAGCCTAGAATCCATTGTTTTTATTCCATTAAGTCACCCAAAGCAGCTTTTTTTTTCCTATTGGGAAAAAAGTTAAATGAGAAATTATACAAGTTGTTTTGCTTTCCAGGCTTTTTATATTAATATGGGATAGTGATCAATACCTTTAGCATGTACGAATTATAACTCGTCTTTTATACTGTTAGTTTTTAACACTAAGGCTCAAAATGCTTTAAACTCCTTTTTCTTAATAGGCCTTTGGCACAAACCAAGAAGATTATGCAAGTTACATTATGAACGGTATCATCAAATGGGGTGACCCAGTTACTCGAGTTCTAGATGATGGGGAGCTGCTGGTGCAGCAGACTAAGAACAGTGACCGCACACCATTGGTCAGCGTGCTTCTGGAAGGTGAGAATGAATGAGGAGATGGCATTAAAAGTTAAAGGAAAAAAAGCAGCATTTTTTAAAAGCCCGTAAGCACATTCTAGAAAAGTGAATTCTTTTTCGTTTTTAACCTTGTTCTTGATCTGAAAATAGTAATCCAATCTATGTACCAATATTGTGTACAAATTAAAATTTTCTTGGGGTAGAATGTTAGTGAGGAAAGATAGCAACTAGTTTTCTTGTAGGATTATATCTGTATTTCTGTGGCACTTAATACACTGAATGATGCCACTTAGCCTCAATTCAATTAAATAAATACTTACTGAGTACTTGTATTTTAGTCATTGAACTAGTTGCTGGGGATACAAAGACATTCAAGTGTTCATTCAGTCTGGTCATGAACAAAGACAGTGTAAAGAAATTCCTGACTACGGTGTATGTGTGTAAAGGTGTGTGTGAATACAAGTCATTTAGCATAGGGGTGGTCAGGGAAAACTAGAGATGCTATTTAATCTAGGCCTTGAAAGACCAGTTAGGATTTTATTGAGTAGACAGACAAAAGGGGAAGGACATTCCATTCACAAATAATTAATTTACAGTTATAATTAGTATGACGGCAGAAAAGTTCAGTGAGGCCCCATGACAAGGGAACCTAACTACCTCTAAAGGTCTGGGGGATGAGAGCTCCCTGGGAGAAACATATTAAGCCATGACTTGACCAATGAGGAGACTCTGGCCAGCCAAAGTCACTGGGGAGGATGTTTGAGGCAGAGCATGTGAAAAAGTCCTGGGCAGGAAGGAGCTTGAAAGAGAAAGGGAGATTGTCCTGACATGAGACTGTAGAAGCAGATAGAAGCCAGTTCATATAAAACCCTGTAGGCCATATTAAAGATTTAAACTATCTTAGGGGCAATGGGAAGCCATTTGTAGGATTTTAAGCAGTGAAGCCACATCATCATCACTGCTTTATGATGGAGAATGGATTGGAGGGGCAAAAAGATACAGAAGAGACTAATGGTTAGAAGCAGTTGGATTAGTCTTAATGAGAGTCGATTGTGGTTTGAAGTATGTGGAGTAGTGTAGATGGAGATAAGTAGACTAATTAGAAATATTTAGAAGATAGAATAAAAATGACCTCATTATTATTGTCAATCATAATTATGCTAGCAGTTTTTGAGCCCTTGCTATTTGCCAGTCACTCTACTAGCACTGTGCACATATTATCTATTTAAACCCCACTTCAGTCCTCCAAGGGTAGATGCTGCTGTTGTCTCTATTTTGTAGGTGGGGAAGCTGAAGCCTAGAAATATTTGTTAGATTGGATGTGGGCAGAGGTATCAAACATGACCCCCTGGGTTCTGGCATACATAGCCCGATAAATGGTGCTGTTTACTAAGATTGGGAACACTAATGGAAAGCAGATTTCTGGAAGAAAGATGATGAGTTCAGTTTTGAACATGTTAAATTCAAGGGTCATATAGGAGAAGTAAATCGGAAATGTTGAGCAGCCTGTTGGATATGTGGGTCTGGCTAGCAGTAGACTCATGAGTTGCCAGTATATAGATTGTGGTTGAAGCCATGGGAGTGAACGAAATCACTTACAGTGAGGGTGTGGGTTGAGACGAAAAGGAGGCCTAGAACTTGTCTCTGAAGCATGTTAACACGTAAGGACTAAACAGAGCAGAAAAATTGACAAAAGAGACTGAGCAAGAGTAACCAGAGAGGAAAGGGGAAAGAGAGAGTGTGTGTTACAGAAGCCAAGAAAAGAAACATATTTTAAGAAAGAGGGGAATTATGAATTGTATCAAATGCTCCTAAGAGGCTGAAAAAGATACCAAAATGTTTGTTGGGTTTGATGACATGGAGATCATTTGTGACCTTGATGGGAGCCTGTTCAGTGTAATGGGGATGGGAGCCGTAAGATTTAGTGAGGATGGGTGGGAGGTGAAGAACAAAAGCAGCCAGTGTAAATAATTACATAGGCAAGTTCCATTTTGAAGGGAGAAGAAGGTGCAGTTTTGAGGGGTATGATGTTCAGAAAGAGTTTTTTGTTGTTATGTATTAAACTGTCAGATAGACTAGAACATGCTAAAACACTTTTGGAAAGGCTTCAGGGAAGAGGAAGAAGTCGAACATATGGGAGAAAGGAACAATCAGTAATGTCATGTTCCTGAGAAGATGGAAAGGAAGATTTGATTGGTTTATGGTTGAACGAGGGACACAGCTTCCAAAACAGGGAAGGGAAGGCAGGGATGTCTAAATGTAGGTAAGTTCGTAGATTTGCTTGCCTTTATGAGAAGGCCTGAGTCTTTAGAATTCTAACTTTTTACATCACATTTGCTTCTAATAAGGCAGTTTTCCCCTGCCCCCAATATCAGCTCTTAAGATTGTCTTTTTTTGTTAGACAAATGATTTGATAGAACTAACAACATAAGTACTAATATGCATTTGAATGCGTTCTTTTAAGAAGCAAAACCCTTACACTCTGTATATTTTGCCAAAAGTTTGAAAGATTAAGGATATGTGAGAATGTCAGGAGGCATGTATTTCACCATACTTTTGAGAAATGCTAATTAGTTCATTAAGTTTAGTTGCTAATAAATAAGAGAAAACATGTCTGCTGTGAAATTGTGTCAGGAAATGTTAATGAGCAACTAGTCGAGACCTCAGTATGTTCTGGATAAAAGTTTAAACTTGTTTTATTTCCCTTTGCTTAGGTTGGCTTTTTTCCCCTGACTTGCTCATATCTTTATGCAGGCCCTCCTCACAGTGGGAAGACTGCTTTAGCTGCAAAAATTGCAGAGGAATCCAACTTCCCGTTCATCAAGATCTGTTCTCCTGATAAAATGATTGGCTTTTCTGAAACAGCCAAATGTCAGGCCATGAAGAAGGTATCAAGATTTTACTTTCATTTTAATTTCCTATCTCTTAAATGTGTGTGTGTGTGCACATATATATGCCTTTGTACATGTATACATATAAACCCATAGCAACTATGTTCTTCTCAAGTGGAACCAAATTATCAGCAGAATATGGGGGAAGCAGTGACTGTTTTAGATTTTCTAACTTTGTAATGTATTTTATTGAGTACCTTTACCTTCTAAATTATGCTTTGTTTAATACATATTAAGTTTCATTGCCTAGTTTTGTATCAATTTGATTAAAAGAGTTATAGTTGAAAATGTTTGAATAAAGTGGACAAATTCATTTAGGATTTTTTAAAGTTCTTTCATTATTGTACAAAGTTGAACTCTTTGGGGTCAATTAAGTTGAGGAAGACAGAGATGTATCAATGGGAAAATAGTCCCAGGAATCCCTACAAAAGGATAGTTTTATATTAGGTAATAATCAGAATCTGCTTGGTAACTTAATGCAGTTCTCATACATCTTCCTTTCTCCAAGTGCCACTCGTCACCTTCTTAATTAACATGGCCACTTTCTACCATCAGTGAAGTTAGAACAGCATAGAATAGAATCCTAGAGCTGAAAAGACTGTAAGACCATTTGGTCCATCTCTCTTACATTCAAGCAAGTGCCATGCAACAACAACAACAAAAATCAATGATGAAGACTCTAAATGGCTGTTCCATCTTACTTGTTAGATCATGTTTCCATTGCTATTCTAATTTTGCATACTGCCAGTCAAGAAATTATTTTTTGTATCCAGCTGAAGTATTTCTTTTATTTAAATTCTTTTTTTCATGCTTGATCTTTTATAGATATGAACTGACCGTAAGTCCAAGAGATGTGGGAAAATCAGAATGAGGTGAAAGAATCTTGAGAATTGAAGTGCTCCCTAGTAAAGACAGCTCAGGGTTTTCTTTTACATTGCTCTTAGGCATTCGCTTTATAAAGATGTATTGTAGAATTCTTCGGTGTTTCTTTGGGAAAGAGACTGAAGAAGAGAAATAGATTTAAAAGATGACTCCCAAAAAATGTAAGCTTGAGAAGCTAGTCTCTTGTTTGTGCAGGTGGCAGAAAATTGCACAGGGTACTTCAGATGGATGGAGGAAGCCGAACTTGTAGCAGGATTCCAGGCATACACATTGAAGAGTCCAGAGAAATACATAAAAATGTTTGAAATTGAGTGTGAAAAGGAAATATTGCCAGATGCAAAAAGAACTTATAATATCATAGTTTATTCTGTCTCTGAGGTGAAACCAATAGTATCTGTCCTTCCCAGGAAAATCTGAATAGAATAACTGGGACCAGTGATTTCCCTAGAGTAGGTAGGGCTGTTTTTCTTTGTTTTTCGTTTTCCCTCTGATGGGAACCCTTAACCCACTTCTTCTGGTAAAAATTTAAATAACAGCCCTTGAAATCTGTAGCTGTTGAATGTCCCATTTATTTATTGAATAGCTAATTCTATTTGCATTCTCCTAAATCATCTATTCCTGTGCTTTTTCAAAAGTAGTAGTCATCTTTGCAGATGGTAAATTACTCCATTGCTTTCCACCAGCTGCCAGCTTCTACCTCAGATGTACTCTGAGATGTGGGTGGATGGTCCTAGTTTTTCTATAAAGTTTTTAAAAAGTACTTCAGGCTTCTGCAGATCAAAGCTACTTTGTAAGTGTGAGATATTATCATTTTTATTATTTTAATCTCTTGCAAATTGACTTGAAGGGGGAAGGTAATATGTGCTGATTTTAGAGGCTTAAATGGTTAAATTAATGGTTTAATAACTTATTATTTAATCTTCAAATTGTTGAAGCCTTTCAAGGTAGAGTTTCAGATGAGTAGAAAGCTAGGGAGTATAAAAATAAGTGTCCATACAAGCTTATTCAAAATTGTTTTAATTCATGATTCACTGTCCGGATCATCCGTGCACTCTTAAAATTATAAAAATTATTTCTGCTTCAGCAGTATAACAAATTTATATTAGAATTTTTGGTTTTCCTTGGGGGAAAAATATTATTCTTTGTCATTAAAGTTCAGAAAAGAGAAAGGAATGAAGCATAGGTTTCTTAGAAATATATTAGAAATATTACAAAATATTTCCCTGCAAATAGTTTTCACATTGTTACCTAATGATAGGTTGACAGAAGCCTGAGGGGTCAAACCAGTCTAAAGATGCTAAGTCTTCCAGGTTGTTTTTGAAAATGAAATGTAAATGTCATTCTTTAGTATAAGTTCTAGTCTACCTCCCACTACTGTTCTTGCCCCTCCTTTTTTTTTTTTTGAGATGGAGTCTTGCTCTGTCGCCCAGGCTGGAGTACAGTGGCGTGATCTCAGCTCACTGCAAGCTCCACCTCCCGGGTTCATGCCATTCTCCTGCCTCAGCCTCCCAAGTAGCTGGGACTACAGGCACCCGCCACCATGCCTGGCTAATTTTTTTGTATTTTTAGTAGAGATGGGGTTTCACCGTGTTAGCCAGGATGGTCTTGATCTCCTGACCTCATGATCCGCACGCCTCAGCCTCCCGAAGTGCTGGAATTACAGGCATGAGCCACCGCGCCCGGCCTGCACCTCCATTTTTAGTGTGAGGATGGAAAGAAGATGTTTTAATTTTTTTTCAGAGCACAAATAATTTATAGAGTTTTATAATTCTGGAGAAAACCTTTCTTTTGTTGTTGTAAGTGCAAAAATTAAGGTAGCTTTTTCTAATTACAGAAATAATTTAGAAAATACAAGAAAGAACAGAAGAAAATAACAATAAATTCATATTTGTCCTTCAATTCTCTTTTCTACTCAGACACATGTGTACACATGAACACATATACCCCCTCCCTTATATATTGGGGATTACATTGAAACATACTGATGTAAACTTGCTTTTTTCACTTAAAATATTATGAACTTTTTTCAGTGTAACTAAAGCTAATCTGAACATTATTTTAAATTAATAGCTGTCTAATATCTGAACAATCCCTTTTTGTTGGACAATTAGGTTGTTTCCAGGTTTTTTTCACAATTATAAATAATATATATCAAAGAGTTATCTATACTCCCAAGTTCATTGCAGCAGTATTCACAGTAGTGGAATGGAATCAACCTGAATGTCCCTCAGTGGATGAATGGATAAAGAAAATGTGACACATATACACTGTGGACTGTAACACAGCCATTTAAAAAGAATGAAATCCTTGTCATTTGCAACAACATGGATGAAGGACCTGGAAGACCTCATGTTAAGTGAAAGAAGCCAGGCACAGAAAGTCAAATATCACATGTCCTCATTCATATATGGGAACTAAACAATTGAACTCAGGGAGGTAGAGTTAGAATGATGGTTATCAGAGGCTGGGAAGGGTAGTGGTAACAAAAATACCATTAAATAGAAGTAATAAGATCTAGTGTTGGACAGCACAATAAATTAACTATACTTAAAAATCATGGGCCAGGCACAGTGGTTCACGCCTGTAATCCCAGCACTTTGGGAGGCTGAGGTGGGGGGATCATGAGGTCAGGAGTTCGAGACCAGCCTGACTAACATGGTGAAACCCCGTCTCTACTAAAAATACAAAAATTAGCCAGGCATGATGGCATGTGCCCTGTAATGCCAGCTACTCAGGAGGCTGAGGCAGGAGAATCGCTTGAACCCGGGAGGCAGAGGTTGCAGTGAGCTGAGAGCACACCACTGCACTCCAGCCTGGGCGACAGAGCAAGACTCCATCTAAAAAATAAAATAAAATAATGTGTCGTTCGGGGAGTGGGCCTGGTGGCAGTGGCGGTGGCAGGGAAAGAGTTGGAGCAGTGCCAGCGGCAAGCGAACAAGGTGACGGAAATCACGCTTAACAACTTTGACAAGGTCCTGGAGCATGATGGAAAGCTGGCCGAACTGGAGCAGCGTTCAGACCAACTCCTGGATATGAGCTCAGCCTTCAGCAAGACAACAAAGACCCTGGCCCAGAAGAAGTGCTGGGAGAACATCCATTGCCAGATCTACTTGGGGCTAGTGGTGGGTGGTAGCCTGCTCATCATCCTGATTGAGCAGCTGGCCATCTTTCTCCCTCAGAGTGACACCAGTAATGCCCCACAGACCTAGGATGCAGGCACCACCTCAGGGCTTGGGGACTGACAGCTGGTCCTGAGGGAGAAGCCAAATGGCTGCACTGGCTGGTTCCGGTCTCCAGAGAACCTTGGTGTTTGCTCTCCCCTGACCCACCCCAGTGAGTGCCAAAGGGCAGCCCCAACACGTGCACCCCTGCATTTCTTGTCATGCCACAGACTGGCCCTCGAGGGCACCCTGCCATACTGGCCATGCCGGGCCAGCCCCACCTGAAGCTCAGTGAAAGCTGATTAAAAAAAAAAAATTATGTATAGATCAAAATAACTACAAGAGTGGAAATTGAATATTCCTAACAAAAAGAAATGATACATGCTTAATGAGTTTCACAACTACCCTTATTTGATCGTTACATGTTTTATACTTGTATCAAAATGGTGCATGTACTCCATAAATATGTATAACTATTATGTAGCCATAACTAAAAATTTAAAATTTATATAAAAACAGTATTCCATAGGACTACCAAACTAGGGAAATTACTGCCCCCATTTTCTCATTAGATTTTTCTTCACTAGAGTAGTATAACATGACCGAGAATTTGGGCTTGCTCAGCTCTCCACACTGACCGGCCGAATGACCTTGGATATGTCATTTAACCTATAAGCCACTGTTTTCTCATCTGTCAAATGAAGATAATATTAATAGCTGCATTATAGGGTTATGAGAATTAGATGGTAATTTCTGTAAAGTGTCACAGTGCCTGGGATATAATATGAAATCAATGAAGTGTAGTGGTTATTTTTACTTATTATTATACATACATTTTTTATTATTTCCTTATGACAAATTCTCAGAAGTGGGATTGCTAAGGTAAAAATATTAGTATTGTAAAGATTTTTGATACATAGTGCTATCAAAACTCTTAGGTAAAAAATGCTCTTGGTTTTATAAAGCCTACGCCTTCAGAATGTTGTACTAATTTACACTTGTAGCTTCACCATATAAGAGTATGAGTTTCTTGGGATTCTCACCCGTACTTGATATTATTAAAATATTTTTTGCCAGTTGGATAAGCAGAAGGTTGGCATTTAGTTATTTCTTTAGCTACATTTCAATGACTAAATGCTCAAATTTAAGATTTTTCAAAATGTTTTGCAATGACAATAGTCTGTGAAACTGAAAAATATGTAACACATTAATTTTTGTTAAAGATGTGTGGTCTGAATTAGTTAATTCATAGAGCATCTTTACCTACCACTTTATTACTTAAACCAACAGGTAAGAGTTTTAGTAGAGAGGGCTGTTAGGCTTGCTTTAATGAGTACATGAGATTTTATTATAATTATACTATTGCCTCTTTTTCACAAATGGATGGTGCTAAAATACGTGAAAGTAGTTTATTCTCAATTAATTTAAAATTCACCTTGTACTTCTCTTAATTTGCTTATTAGTGAATCCTTTCTCCATGGATAAACTCCTCAAAACTGCTGAAGTATGTATGAGGTATTGTCCTCACGTTCTGGGGGGTATACCATATGTTCCATTAAGATGTTTGAAGTATTCACAGACCTTCCCCTTCTCCCCTATTTTACGTTTGCTTCCCAAACTTCATTCTATTTTTAAATTTTAATTCCTTTATCCATTTTTGCATCAATACTTGTTTAAAAATCTATTTTACTAGTTCTATTCGTGCCATTAAATGAACAAAAGAAGAAAGCAGAATTTGATTTTAACTAATTACCTAATCTTGATGCTTTCTGAGTATACAATCAGTAGAGATGAAGTAGAACAATCAGATAGAACTAAATTGTTTGAACAAAATTAAGTAAAACTACCAGTGATTTATAAAACTGTACCCATTAATAACATGATATAGTCTTATTTTCAAAGGATTGAAAATTAATGGAAGAAATTTTCCTTTCCACTAGCTTTGCACGAAAGAAATAATCTTCTTTGAATATCCTCCTGTAAATCCCACTGCAAATTGTAGTCTGCACAGAACAGAATCGTGATGCCTAATCCTCCTCTTTTCATGGTTTAGTCTATACAAAGAGCAGAGCTGGAAATTGGATCTTTTGACAGCAGTTACTAAGCAACAGAATTTGGATGTTTTTGGTTAACATCCTAATATATAATGTAGCTGATTTGTTGAAGTTTTTGCATATATTAGCTGAGAGAAGTGGGCACTCCGGAAGTGACTACAGGTCCCTGTATGGCTGGGGAGGTGGGCATTTGTTGTTGTTTTGTTCAATACACTGTGTCTTTTGGCATTTGTATCTCTTTGGCGTAGAAAGGAGGCTGGTGCAGAACTTTCAGACCTTGTGACTTTTTATATTATTAAGAATACCCTTCTCTGTGGCTCACGATATGAGAAAATGTAAGATTTTTTCCTGAAAAGCAGGGAGAACAAATAAAGGATTTTAAGGTCATTCCAGGAAGCTTTAGAGCTTTGCCAAAAGTTTAGGTCCACTTCCTGAGGCAGTTTCATTAGCAGACAGCTAATGTTTGTTTGGTCTACTCCCAAGTTATTTTTAGAAACGAGATTATTACTGATAGCACCCATTTGAATTTGCTCATTTACGTTTTTATATGCTACCAAATATGATTAGAGTATGCTTTTAACTAATCGCTGACAGATTTACTGCATTAGGGATTTTCTAAGCTATGAGATTCCTACAGTCATCAGATTTCTACTAACTAGGTACTTCACGCCAAGTACTTCAGAACTGAGATGAACTCTTTCAGCTCCCAGAAGAACCAGAGTGTTTGGCTTTGCTTACCTAAGGGCACTAAGGAGGTCCCAGAGGATGGAGGGCTGAATCTCCTGAGAGCATGCTTGTTGTGGCTTGTGATCCCGAAAGGCTGGGATTAATGGAACTAATGCTGGTGTGCTCCCATTTGCACTTGTGTAGACTCTGGAGCCCGTAGCTGCTGCCCCTGTCCCACACACAGGTGGCTCCCCAGTTGTCTGAAGATCCCAGGAGTGGGCTCTGGGACTTAAGAGCTTGCCGTGTCCTTGAGCACCACATTCAGACCTGCCCCTAATCCCTGCGTGGCAGAGCCCCGCTTCTCCTGTCCCTCAGTGCTCACGGAGTGCATGTGGCACACTCTTGCCTTAAGCCCAGGCTCCCCACACTCTGGGTTGTCTCTCATACCCCTCCAGCCTGTGTCGTACCTCCACCTTTGCATGCAAGAGAGGTTACAGTTTAATATGACAATCTCATTATGTGCACAGGTGGACATAACGGGCTTCTGTGTTTTCTAGAGCTGCTCTTCCTTCCTTTAGAGTAGACTTCCCGTTATTTCATGAGACACAGGCTGACTGATGCCACTCTTTCCCACATTGTTTCCTTCTTCAGTTCTTCCTGTTTTTTCTTTAGCCTTCTCTTTCAGACTTCCCTCCTAACTTTAAGACCCTATATATGTATGTTGATAATTTTACCTGTTCTACAGGAAACTTCATAATAGAACTGGGCTGACTATACATTCTTTTTCTGTGTGTGTGTGAATATATACTTTTTATTTAGCCATTTTTGTTTACAATTGAAACTCTGGGAATTCAAAATTAACATCCTTGCCCGTGAGCTTCTTATAGACACCAGAAAAAGTTTCAACCTTGTGTTCCACATTGTTCTGCTGTGCTTTGTCCAAATGAACCTTTATGAGCCGGCTGCTATCTAGTTTGACGGGGATTCTCTTGCCCACAATTTCGCTTGGGAAGACCAAGTCCTCAAGGAAGGCATCGTGCACAGCTGTCAGAGTACGGCTCCTGGGACACTTTTGCTTATTTTTTGTACGGCTTTTTCGAGTTGGCTTAGGCAGAATTCTCCTCTGAGCGATAAAGACGACATGCTTCCCACTGAACTTTTTCTCCAATTCGCGTACTAGCCGGACTTGGATTTTCTGGAAAGATTTCAGTTGAGGAACGGGAACAAAGATTATGATAGCTTTCCGACCACCACCAACTTCAGTTTCCTTGGCTGCCGTAATATTCAGCTCCCTGAGCTGAGCCTTGAGGTCCGAGTTCATCTCCAGCTCCAGAAGAGCCTGGGAGATGGCCGGACTCGAACTCGTCCGGCTTCTCGCCATTGGGCTTCACGATCTTGGCGCTCGAACTGAACATGGCTTTCTCCTGGGAGAACTTGCAGCGCCTGCTTAGGAAGAGACCCAAATCTCGCGAGAGCACGTCAAAATCCCTACATTCTTAAGATTAATTTTGGGGGGAGTCTGTAAGATACGGTTCTTACCTTCTTACCTCCAGCCTCAGTCCTCCTGGCATCTTCTGTGTTGGGGCATCTTTGGATCTAGAGCAAGCACTGTGTGACCTGCTGTGTGCTATAACTCACGGTGAGTTTGGCACTTCAGTTGTACTAGTCTGGCTAGGGCAGTTTGTACAATTTTACTTTTCTCGCATCTTTCTTTCCAGTACCTCTCCTCCTGCTGGGATTTATCTACCTAAAGTTGTGGTGCAGCTTCCCGGCTTAGTATGTAAATATCTCACTTGGATTTTCCTGTGGCAGCTAACCTCACGTACTTGCCAGCCAACTCTGAGTATCTTCTTAGTGAGAATTCTGCTGGGGCCTGGGCCAGAAAGGGTGAAAGGGACTAAGGGACTGAGGAGACTAGGCAGAAATCGTGGATCCTGGGAAGAGTTATGAGCACAGGTTACACTAGTGACTAGATAAGGAAGAAAATGTACGTGTGAGAAGAGAAAGGGATGTGTGTGTATGTATGTATTTAAATTAGAGCAGAGTAGCTACCCGGAGGAGTTTCAGTTGACTGGTTACCTGAAACTAGTCAAGTTACAACTGGAATTGCACAGCCTTCGTCATGGTCGGTGTGTTAATAGAGCTTGCTGTGAGTGCACCTCTCCCTCTGATAGTAATTAGCACAGAGACCGACTGCAAAAAACAAGAACGTCACTACTTGATATTAAGTGACTGCTGCAGGTATTTTTCCTCTCAAATGTTATGTGTAGGCCATGCAGTCAACTGTGAAGTGATTTGGAATGCTTTGTGAATTACAGTGTCTGAGATAAGTTGGTGAGACTACATACCATGTAGCAAGTCATCATTAGTTTAGACCTAAGCAATGTCCTGAGTAAGGTCCTTGCAGCCATATAAGCTGTACATTGTTTTGAGAAGGAAAAACATAGAACTACTGCAACCAGCCAGGCTGTGGTGTTCCAGGTCCCTGTGGCTCTAATCCATGATCTCACAGCCTGATGGTCAGAGTTATATGCTGGCATCAGAGCTTTTAGTAGAATTCTGAAAAATGTTTTGAAAAGCAAAGCATTATTTTCAGTGATTCCTTAAAATTACCTGAGTTTATAAGATACCACATTGGCTGCGGTTCCATCTTCAAAAAAAGTAGCAAAGAACCGCTGTAGAACTGCTTCTGAGCTTTTCAGTTGTCTCGAATGTACCAACTCAAAGCCAAAAGGAACCATCATTGTGTATCAAGAGACTGAAATAAATATCCTATTCTCATTTTCTCTTTTTCTGTGTTTGGGGAGGAGAAGATAAAAGGCCCTTCTCTTCTTGCTCTTTAAATGTACTCATGATCCATTTTCAAACCAGCTTCACCTCTGTGTTTTATTTCAGTTGCCAAATCAGGACAGATCCTTGACTCCAGTTTTCTCTTTCATCACCACACCCATTCATTCACCAAGTTCTTTCAGTTCCTCCTCCTAAACATCTCTAGATTCTGTCCACTTACCAGCACACCCACTCCCTGGCCACCATCATTTCTCACCTAGAACTCCACAATCTCAATTAACTATTATTCCCCTCTAATGCTTTTCTATACAATCAGGAAAATGTTTCTAAAACATAAGCCTGACATGTCAGTCCATTGCTTATAACCCTTTAGTGGCTTGTTATTGCCTTTACAGTAAAATTTTAACTCATGAAATTTGTAAGACTCTTTATGTCCAAGTTCCTTCATCACCTCTTCTAATTCATCTCACCTACCACTCCACTGCATTGACACCAACACCACTTTATTTTAATTCTTATTGACCGTTCCTGCAGTGTTCCTGAATGTTCACATCTCTGTGTCTCCTAATTTTCAGTATATTCTGCTTAGAACACTTTCTTCCACCCTTTCCACTGGTTAACTGTTGTTCATGCTTCAAGTCTCAGGTTAAGTGTCACTTCCTAAATTTAGGAAACTGTCCTGACTCCCTAAGTCCATTTAAGAGTCAAGATAGGCTGAGTTATGCTGCATGAAAGGACAACCCGAAAATCTCAGTGGCTTAACACAACAAAGTTTATTTTTTATTTACACTACTATATCTCCGTCATGGCTCAGACAGTGAGTTCTGTTCATTATATTTTCTCAGAGACTCAAGCTAATAGATAATAGAGGCCCCACCTTACATCTGATTCCATGATAGCCAAGGCAGGGAAAGGAGTATGGTGAATCATGCAGTGACTCCTAAGGCTTCTTTCAGAAAGGGGTGTATTTCCCCTCATATTTCATTAACCAAAGCAAGCCCCATAGTTATGCCTAACTTCCAAGGCACTGGGGAAATACTGCCTACCCTGTGCCCCCGTATCATCTTGTATTTCCCCTAGCCTAATAATGTCATGCTTTGTTATAATTACATGTGACTTGCTTCCCCAACTCTAACTTTTGTGAAAGTAGGATTATTTTTGTCTTATTTATTATCCTCTGCAGTGCCTTCATTAATGCTTGATACATAATAAGAATTCAAAAATATTTGTTGAGTGAGTGAATGAATAAGGCAGCACTCCAAGACTCAATCCTTAGGCCTTTTTTTCTTCTTCTTCTGCCATTTCTTCTTGAAGATGGCTTCCTCTGTCATGGTTTCAGCAGTCACTGCCCTGAGAGTGATTTCCATTCCCTGACTTCAATCAGATATCTCCAACTTCTCACTTAATATTTCTACTTGAATTTAAAATGTGTAAATTTATTCTTTTAGTAAATACTTCTTAATTACTCTCTAATAAGGCATTATATTAAATGATATGAGGATACAGAGGTAATTAAGACAGCACTTGCCATCTGAGGGCTTGCAATCTAGTATAATACAAAAATAGTACAATGAATCAATAATATATATACGTAATATACAAAATCCTGTGCCAAAGGAGAAGACAAGTGATTTATGGCAAGATGGAATTGGAACTTGTGTTGTTTCAACCATTGAACCTACAGAGCAGACATCATTACTGAATTCTGTTCTGTGCTGGGCACTACACATAACATGAACAGAATAAAGCTTTTATCCACCTCACAGTCCAGTGGGGAGACAGATAGCTTAGGACGAAAGGATAGATGGGGTTTAGACAGAGTGTGGGAGGGTAATTAGGGGGTAAAGGGATGGTGCATAGGAAAACGTTTTCACCAGAGGGGTTGACCTGATTAAATATCTGGAGAAATTGTCAGTATTTATGCCAGGAAAGAGGTAAGGAAGGAACTGAATCAAGATGGTCACAGTGAGACTCTATTATGGTAACTTAATTGTTAGGAATACTTTAAAAACCAAGTATACACAGGTTGTTTTTAAACCTAACATGAAAAATGGTTAATATCATGAGTTTGACTTTATTTCTGTACCTAATTATAAGTCTTCAATGGTTAAAAGATACCCAGGAAGGAATATATGCCATTCCAAGCAAGATGTTGGTGCGGGTGGGGATCGGGTTTACTATCTTGGTGTGCTGAGGTTGGTTACCAACCAGAGAGAGTGGGCTGGGATGCAGAAACTAATTCTTACTCATGACACTGATGAGATTTCCTGAGCCCCACCTGTAGTCTCTGGAATAGTACCTTCATTTCCAAAAAGGCTAGTCTCAAGGCCTTGAGTACTTCTATTCAACTTGCAGATAAGCTAATTCTTCTATCTGATTTGAAATTACTACATCCTTGCCAGGCTAAAACCGTTCCTTCACTGCTTAATTTCATTCTCATTTTCTTGACCATCTTAAGACAGTGCATTCATATCTTTTGTCTGGTTTTATACGTACATCTATCTGATCCTTCATACTCAACCTTTAATTCTTTTGTAAGCTCTTTTACCATTATGGTCTGATTTGAGTTGACAGAATTCTGATCTTTCAGTGTTACTTTTGCTTAACAGAGCCACAATTCTTATAGATAATAAAATGGCATCTAGTTTTATTTTACACATCTCTTGTGGCTCCATCTAGCTCTTGAGTCATTACACTAAAGTCCTGCTCCTGACACAGATACCAGAGACCAGTGTGATAGAAGTGATGGGATGTGTCAGTTGATTAATGATCAGCTAGTCCCCAGCCTGCCCAGGTGTGACACACACAGCTGTTAGTGCTGAAAACAGCCTTAGCCTGCTCTCTGTTCAGCGGTGATCCAGTGTGTCAATTCTAATTTATTGTAGTCCAAAGTGTTGGTGTTTTCCTGTGCTTTGTTTAGTATTGCTCAAGAAGTAACTAAACTTCTTGGAAATTGTCGTAACTGTGGAGGACAGTGAGATAATAAATGACTTTGTTTTCTTTCAGATCTTTGATGATGCGTACAAATCCCAGCTCAGTTGTGTGGTTGTGGATGACATTGAGAGATTGCTTGGTGAGTCCTAACTTCTGCTGTTGTATTATCTTTGCCACATTACAGCTAATATCTCAAAAGTTACAAGAGAAAATTAACAAGTATTTATAAACTGTAAAGCAATAGAAATACCTTTCTTTGTCTTACAAGGAAATATAATGTTCTCTCTTAAATAGCTGACATCAATGATAGTATTCATTTTAATATGCCCTGTGACTATAACACCATTATAAACTGCTTTCTTGTAAGGGCCCATGTCTCATTTTGTATCTTCCAGTGTGCCCTTGCCATAGTAAATGATTAGTAATTTTCATTGATGAGTATATCTGTTATTTAGGACCTCTGAGCTCAGAAATTCACTTGTGAACTTTGACAGAACTAATGAAAGAAGGGTTTAGGATCACAGAGAAATCTGCAAATTCACTAAAACACTAAGGGCAGAAGTTGTAAGCTCTCTGCACCTCAGTTTCTGCTCTTACAAAACAGAGACTATAATCCCTCTCTTGCTTATCCCACAGAGTAATTGTGAAGACAAAAATGGGATAATAAATCTTGAAAAAATTTTGTAAGTTAAAAGTGCAGTATAGTAATTTTTAAAATATGTATTAAATATCTCCTGTGTTGAAGTGCACTCCTACAGAATACAAACATGAAGAAGACTTGGTCCTGGCACTTAACTCATAAGAAATAAACTGCAAGGAAGGGCCAGAAAGTTGTTAATTTTATTTCACTGTAAAATTAAATCAGTCTGACATAAATTCATTACAACAATGGCTCAGGAAGGGGTAATACACTCTATTGAAATGGAAACCCACCTGGTGACTTAATAACATCTGAAAATACTACCCAGTGTCTGAATAATCCCTTCTTCTTTAAGCTGTCCATAATGGTGTAGTCGTGATTTCAAGCTAACTGTTCTTACTGCATTTTTCCCATGATTTTCAGACCTGCTTTTGGTCCTCTGTTATTTATTTTTTTAAGTTTTGGCAGTGTCTGTTATAAAGCAAAGCAGGTATATCTGTGAGGTCTCCATAAATTGATAGTGGGTTTTGGGTCTGCTAGGTTTGATACATCTCAGCCCAGTTTATGGGATGATTTCTTTAAAAGCTTTTAGGCACAAACTCATAGCTCTGTGTAAATTCCTTTATCTTAACACAATTGAGGTGTGTGGTCATAGCAACACTACCATGTCAGGAATGTGTGCCCTCTGAGTACATTTCACTGGTATGAATAGTTATCATCTGTGCATGCTTGCTCATTTATTCAATAAGCACTTGCTGAGCCCTTCCTCCTCTGGTAGAAGTATTAGAGTCTCAGAAAAAGACGCTGCTGCCTGTCTTTATAACATATGTTGGCAAATGTTAATGCAAAGTAGAATGTGCCATGTATTTTGGATATTCTGTTTTTTTTTTTATTTTTATTTTCCCTCCCACTGTTCTCATCAGGTGGATAGTCTGAAAATGGAGGGATCAGTTTTGACCTCAGGGGGCCTGCGAGTAGCTCTAAGCCCAGGGCAGAGGTGCATATGCAGTATGCAGAGAAAGCTAAGCAGGTGGCATTTACGCTGAATCTTGAATTATTGGTAAATGTTTAACAGGTCAGATGTTCTCTTAGAAAGTTATCTGTTCCTTACCATCTGAGGGCCAATCTTAGTGGTTCTGCCATTGTTTCCGTTTTATTGAAATTCCTTATTTTCCCCTTTGCCCATTTTCTAACATCATGTTTTAATATCAGTGTACTGAATGGCCATGGTTTGCAGTAACTTCTTAGAAATGCTTGGTAAATACACCTGGAATTTTTTTTTCCTTCCAAAATAATCCCAGAAAAAACATCTACATGAACTCAAAGTGAATATTTAGAAGCTTTTTCAAAAAATTTATAGAGCCGAGTACAGTGGGATTATGGCAACCTATAATCCCAGCTACCTGGGAGGCTTAGGCAGGAGGGTTGCTTGAGCCCAGGAGTTCAAGACAAGCCTGGGCAACATAGCAAGACCCTGTCTCAAAAAAAAAGTTACAGATAAGAGTTCTTATATTTTAAGCATTTAGGTTATTAGAGATATTTTTTCTTATTATAAATAGTTTTATGACTGTTATTTAAGACTGTTTACTCTTTAAATTTTTTTTTTCTTATTCTATACATATTCTGCTTATGTAGGGACTGTGTTTACTTTTGATGCAAAAAAAAAAAACAAAAACTGAATGTTTGGAATATGTACATGTGTATCAAATCCCTAAACATAATAATGTTTCTTTTCCAGATTACGTCCCTATTGGCCCTCGATTTTCAAATCTTGTATTACAGGCTCTTCTCGTTTTACTGAAAAAGGCACCTCCTCAGGTAAAATAATACTACTAATAAGGAATATTTTAACAAAGAGTTTTTCAGTAAATCGCATATAATGATACAATCTTTAAATAAGCAGGTTATCATAAACATAAAATTCTGTTGTTGAAAGGATTTTGAAAGGTCGTCCAGTCTTGACTTCTGTTTAAGGTAAATTATTTTATCAACAGAATTTTTCCATTCCTTTTCTGAAGAAATCAAAATCCCACAGTTTCTGTGTGGAATACAACAATTAGCATTGTATTTTGTTGTTTTGTAAGTTTTCCACCATATTACATATCCCTACTACCTCCAACTGCCAAGGGAGATTATGATATTAATAGAGAAGGCATTGAATATGTTCCCATATGTTTCATTTATAATTTCATGGGTTTTCCTAAAAATTTGTTTATGGGGATATTTAAGTTTATTTTCTTTGGGCAGTTAAAAAACTATTTTTAACAGATGATCTTGAGTTATTTTTCTTGGGTCATGTGGCACTTTTGAGGAGTGAATTTATAGCCAGGATCTTGATTCCTGTGTTTGCATTTTTACTGATGTGGCTATTAGAGACTTGTGATTTTGGTAGGTTAACAAATTTAAAACCAACCTATGAAGGTTGGTTAAATATGTTAATTATGTAGAGGCTGCCAGAGCATGTTTGGCTGTGTCACAAGACATGAGTTCTCTTGATTGATTCTGCATGCTGTAACCTTGAAAAATGCCAATCAAAGGCAGGTACAAAGCAGTTAAGCACTGACTTGAAAAGCATCTTAATGTCTGTATGAGAATCTCATATTTAAAGTTAGAGATAGAAACTAATCTGTAAGGAAAATATTTACTCTTAAACTGGTGAATCTAATTTTTAATTTAACAGTTATATATGTGCGTGTATTTTGCACTTAAAAGTAAATGACTTGTCTTGGTTTTTCTGGAGTTTTTTTTTAACTTCTAAAATAATGAAAAGAAACATAACCTATAATAGTCTTGAAGATTTGCAACATATGTGTACTGTGGAAGGATTTTTAAATCAGCTTTTCATAAACCATCATTCCTAGTAATTGGAGTCTTAGCTTATACTAAGGGTGAAGTTAGAGAGGTGAGTGTATTTTCCCTTTCTCTGATTCCTGCAATATTTTCTTAAGTAAGTAAACGTATATATCTAAAGTTGCTGAAACAGAAATAATTATCTACATATATCATGATTCCTCCAATGTTTTCATAAATAAGTAAACGTATATATCTAAAGTTGCTGAAACAGAAATAATTACCCCCAACATCTACATATATTATGCACACAAAAAAACTTTATGTCAGCATATTAATTATAAAAACTATTAGAATGTGAGACTTTTTCTAGGCATTTAAATTTATCTCTTAAAATAGTTCTTCTTTTTTAGCTGAAAATAATTTATGCTAAAAGTCACTTGGGAGAAGGAAGATTAACTTCAGTGCTATCTTATACTTCTTGTTCTTTACATTGTTAAATACTATACACATTGATTTAAACAGAGGTACACCCCCTTGGCTGAGAAGCATTTGTGATCCAAAGTAGATACTAACAGAAATAAACAGAAACTATTAACGAATGATCTGCCACACTAAGATTTAAGAATAATTGTTTCTGTGTTGTAAAACTTATTGTAAGATTTTTGAGGGAAGGAACATTATCTTATGCTTTTAAATCTCACAGCCAATGGCATAGAGGCTTATACGTACATGCTTCACAAATACCTTATCAACAAAAAAAAATTTTTCAGTGTCTTTTCATTTTAGTGGGCTCAAGTGTTTTCATATTGCTGGAGTTTATATTTAGACAGGATATGATAAGAGTGAAAACATTCAAAAATAAGTAAAGTTCAAATGGCCAACAAGTATAAGAAGAGGTACTCAACATCATTAGTCATCAGAGAAATGCAAGTCAGAACCAATAGTGAGATACCACTCATTGCATACCTGCTAGAATGGCTATCATCAAAAAGTCAGGTAATGACAAGCGCTGGTGCAGATGTGGAGAAATTGGAACCTGTATGCACTGCTGGTAAGAATGTTCCTCAAGAGGTTAAGCATAGAGTTACCATATAACCCAGCTATTCCACCAAGTATACACCTACAAGCAATGAAAAACATATGTCCACATGAAAGCTTGTATGTGAGTATTCATAGCAGCATTATTCATAACTAAACATTTATCTGATAAAATCTAGTATATCCATATAATGGAATATTACTCAGCAATAAAAAAAAGTAGTACCATTACATACTACAACATGAATGAACTTTGAAAACATGCTAAGCAAAAGGAGCCAGTCAAAAAGACCACATATTGGATGATTCCAGTTACATGAAATGTCCAGGACTGGCAGATCTATAAAGACAGAAAATATATTTGGGATGGCCTAGGGCTGGGAGGGGAGAATGAGAAGAGTGAGAGGGTCACTGCTAATGGGTATGGGGTTTCTTTTTGGGGTGATAGAAATGCTCTAAAATTGATTTTGGTGGTGTTGTGTATATCTGTGAATATACTAAAATACTGAATTGTACACTTTAAATGGGTAAACTGTGTGCTCTGTGAACCATATCTCAAGCGATTACATTTTTTAGAAGTGGTTTAGAAGCTACTTAAATGATGAAAGGAGACATAGAGTTAGAAGTGAGGGGTGAGCATCCAAGGTACGTGGCCCAGCTTGGGAGAAAGAGGAATTGGATCATTTGAAAAGAACATGGAGTGAATTTATCTAAGGACTGAAGAGGAAGAATATAGAAATATGTAAGAAGTAAGAGATGTGGTTGCCTTAGTGATTGGAAATGGCAGGGGTTCTCTCTGAAGGGAATACCATCTGGTCATTAATCTGAATTTGGTGACTCTGACCTGGACTGCCAGATTACCTGCAGTATACATGAATCAGTGACAGGATAAATTAATATTTGTAGTATTTCTAGTTGGCATGTATTTAACAAAATAAAAATGTGCTTTGTCATACCACCTTGCTTTTTAAAATGTTTATATTCTCTCAAGAAAATAAGGGGAAATTTTCAGGCTGATCCAAGTGTTAAGAATATTAGTCATTGTAAAATGGAAGCATTCACTTTGTCAAACCATTAGCATATAGTTTTTTCAGATGTTTTTAATTAAATATTAAAGGTATATTCAGCTAAATATTGTAGAAATGCATAGAGTGATAGAAAAATATTTATTACTGGTAAGAAAACAAAAGTTGTGAGCATTTTTCTTTAAAAGGAGGAACTATACTTATATACACTACAGTAATCATATCAGTCACAGAATCCTCAATTTTGCATTTGTTGTATTTCCAGCTTTCACACAGAAAAATTGTGTGTGCATGTGTGCACGTGCTCAAATAAAAGAATCCCTTCAGGGGCACTATGTTGTTATGTATCCAGATATTCTCTTTTCTCCTTCCACCCCTCCCCCACCACCCCCTCCCTTCTTGTAAATTGGCTTATTAAAACTGGTTCCCAAGCCCTCCTTTTTTCCCTTTGTGATTGCCTTGGTCTTGGATTTTCAGTGTAGAACTAAAAATTCAAGTCAGATTTCAGTTACTAGGATAATTTTCTTTGAATTTTAAATTTTTCTAAGTAAATGCATAGATTTTTAATGAACCTGGTATTCAGTGGATTTGCTTTAAATTTAGCTGCAGAGTTAATTTCATGATTGATTTATTAGCCCTTTGAAAGTATAAAAAGTGGTATCTGCAGTTCGTGAAGAGTGAAAAACATCATCACATTTTGTTTAGCATCTTTTTAAAACCAATTAAAAGCTTTTCTAAAATGGATTGAACAGGAGAAAATAAAACATGTTCCCTAGGTCTTTATTTCAATCAAGTTTCCCTGTGTTCTGCAGGAGAAGAGATCGAGAGGGGATAGAAAAATTGAAAAGGGCTGTCCCAGCAGGGAGCCAAGCCGGAAAAAAGGGCTTCTCTGAGAACTCAGCAGCAGCAGCTAAGAAAGCTCCCAGCCTGCTTCATCTACATGCAGAGTCACACAAGGCATGGGGGTGCTCACTGTCACACAGAGGTTTCACATGTGCTTCCCTGCTGATTCCTGTGAAAAGCTAACAATTGGCTTGGAGGGTAAAAGACCACTGCAGTTCACCCTCCCTGAGCTGGACGTACAATTTGTCCAGTGTTAGGAAATGTCCGGCTTAGCAGTGAGAGGCTTGAAGACACCCCTCCTTCCAGTGAGATTCCTAACGCCGTCTCTTTTACTTGATGACACTGGGGCTCTTTTCAAGTTTTGCAGATTTATGGAAGTTGAGGGGAATGTGCTTTTCAAGATCAGGAGGATGAAAGCCTTGGTCTTAATGTCAAGGAGGAAGCGGTAGTGAGTGGTAAGGCCAGGTAACTCTTCCTGCAGCCTGCAGGACCAGTGGCTTGATTTTTCCTCATAGATCTCTTCTGCCACCTTCTTTTTTTTTTCTTTTTGGGAGACAGAGTGTCTGAAAAGGAACTCCTTGGGCTGTAAAATGACATGATTCCCCAGTTTCCTCAACAAGTGTGAGAGTAGTTAAGCCTATTAACCTCACTGTTTAATGCTGGGTTTGACACTTTTGTGCATCAAATTGGAAAACCTCATCTGTATGTAACAGGGTAGCCTCGTAATTTATGGAGGAGCAATCCTTCCTCAGTTCAGTGCTTCCCAACCTTTTTAGATTATGGTGCATACAAAATGATAACATCTGATGATACACTTGGGTAAGTGGATGAGGCCACTCACAACTGGCCAGGGCTCTAGCCTTCCCAACAGCTGGCAGGAATTGATATCTTAGTCCAGGTATAACTCATTTGAAGCTCAACGATTGGAAAACTCTTTGGAAACTTTAAACTTTTACAAAAGAAGAATTACCACTCCAACGTCATAGCAGTATTACTGAAGTAGAACTCAGACCTAACAGTTATTAGTGTTCTGGCTAAATTTTATGATGTTGTTGAGAATAGTAACTTCCTCGCTGCTCTGACACCTAGGAATATTACCTAATAAGAGAGAAATACAGCTTAAAGCTTGGAGGACCTAAGGTGTGGACCAATAAGAAACTGTCAGCATTCTCAGGATGGGGACTTGGGTAGACACACTTGTTTCTGCATGAGTTTTGTTTTTAACATCAGCAGTCTCTAGACAACATTGCTTTCATGTAGTCCTTACATGACATCTTAGCAGTCTTACTTCAGATATGGTTATAGGACATCTTGGTATCTTGATAATATTAAGCAACTCTTTAGGCTTTGGGTTGCTTTAGTGAAATAAGCAGATAATGGAAGAGACTCCAAATCATGCAGGCCTAAACATGAGTATCTCTCCATCTATTTGTTCAAAATTAACTCTGGCTAATGACTATGATATGACTCAATAAGATATATAACCACTTTAGGAAAGAGGCTTAGTCATTTTGCCAGACACATTAATTTTAATCCACTGATGTGGTGACTTTTGCATTGGGCTTCATTTCTTTTATCTAAAAAAAAAAATGATGCTTGACAGTTTAGTGGCCTGCTTAGTAAGTCAGTGACATTAGATACCTACTATATTTATAATATTCTCTTTAGGTATACTTTGCTTAGTATAGTAGATTTTCTTGGAAAGTCCTTTGTAGATTGAACATGTGTGTGTGTATATATACATATCTCTGAGGACAAAGGAAATTTCCAGAGATCTGTGTTCTTGTTTTCTGGACAGAAAGATAATGTATAGTGAATGTATAGTGATCAACTAAGATAATGCCTAGTGAAGCCCTTTGTAAACCTGTGGACTACATAGATAGACAGTATTAAAGAACATATATATATAGTACATATATATGTAGATTAATTTCAAATGTATCAAAAACAGTGAAATAGGCCAGACATTGTGGCTCACGCCTGTAATCCTAGCACTTTGAGAGGCTAAGGCAGGAAGATTGCTTAAGGCCAGGAGTTCGAGACCAGCCTAGGCAACATAGTAAGACCAGTCTTTACAAAAAAAAGTTAGTCGAATGTGGTGGTGAGCATCCGTAGACCCAGCTATTCAGGAGGCTGAGGCAGGAGGATCGCTTGAGCCCATGAGTTCAAGACCGCAGGAAGCTGATTCTTACCACCGCACTCTAGCCTGAGTGATAGAGCAAGACTCTGTCTCTAAAAACAAAACCAACAAAAAACAGTGAAGTAAATTATTTTATAAAACATTGCTACAGATATCTGCTGAATAAAATCAAATTTTCAAAATAGGGTTTTGTTTTGGTTTTGGTAGAGCACATCTATAGTAGATATTAATACCAGAATAAATTATAAGATATATATGCCATTTTCTGATAACTCAAAATTAAATATCTAAATTTTAATCATCAGAGAAATGCTAATAGTGTTGAGACGAAATATTTTTTCATTGCTAGAATGTATTCTTCCAGATCCATTGCCTTAAATAAGTTACTGTGGCATTACATTAGCTTTTGAAAGGTGGGGATTATAACGTCGTAGTAGTCCATGGGTGCCATGACTCTAGTTAAGAGCACCCTTTCTGTAGAACTTACTCTTTGTATTGAACTTGAGGTTTAAAAAAAAAAAAAAGAAACCTATGTCTTAGCTCAGATATCATCTGGCATTATAGCCTTGAACGTCCCTTAATTTCTTGGTGTCTATTTCTTCATCTGTAAAATAGAGATAATTCCTCATGTGTTACCTACTCTGTTGAGGGTCAGCTAAGATAATGTGTAGTGAAGCCCTTTGTAAACTGGTGGACTACATGAGCTGTCCAGGCGCAGTGGCTCATGCCTGTAATCCCAGCACTTTGGGAGGCTGAGACAGGTGGATCATTTGAGGTCAGGAGTTCAAAACCAGCATGGCCAACATAGTGAAACCCGATCTCTACTAAAAATACAAAAATTAGCTCGACGTGGTGGTGTGCACCTGTAATCCCAGCGACTCGGGAAGCTGAGGCAGGAGAATTGCTTGAACCCAGGAGGCGGAGTTTGCAGTGAGCTGAGATTGTACCACTGCACTCCATCCTGGGTGGATGGAGTGAGACTCTGTCTCAAAAAAAGAATTGCCTTTGGATAGTCCACAGAACCTTTTCAGCTTGTAAGATAGGAAAACTGAAGAACGTATAATAACTGCTATATAGAGGAAGTTTCCATAGGAAGTGAGTTCAGAGCTCCCACTTTGGAATGCCTGAACCCAACTTCCCTCATTTGCAGTACTGGGAAAAGAAACCTGCTTCCCCATCTCTCATTCACTGAAATTTAGAAGCTTCCTACATCCTAAGACAAATACTCTTGTCTGGGGATTAGGGATTCCTGTTGTAGAAAGAAGTAGGAAGTGGAGACAGGAATTGCCAAGATCAGTAGGCCACCACCAGGTCACACTTGTCTTCAGCCTCCAGGGACTGGCCCACCTGCTTCCTTTCCCTGCCACCACCTGTTGCTTGTGGCTGAAGTTCCCCTTTTCTCCTAACTCATGGTGCAACAAAGTGGTGCTTCACAGTTTCTTTCCTACCTTTCTGTCCCAGAAACAAGAATGCAGATCTTTGGAGATTTCCTGTGTCCTTGGGGATCTCACAATGGCCAGAAGCCCTGGCCCTCCCTCTACTCCTTACCCTGTTAATCTTGGATGGTAGGATTATAGGTGATTTCTTTTTTATTTTGCTTTATTGTTTCCTGTACTTTATAGATTTTCTACAATAAGCATATGTTACTTTGATAATCAGGAAAAAATAAAAAATGTGTATACAATTATTTTTAACTTAGCAGTATAACTGTCAAAAATTCCTTAATTCCATTGCTTTGGTACTAATTTGCTGCTAACCACTAGGGTTAAATGAGACTACCTTTGTATCTAAGCTTGTCTATGTATAATATATTTTTAACCTTGTTCTTTTTATGACTTAAGATTTAATTGAATATCTGAAATATGCTGTGGGTTTTGGAGTAAAAGTGTGCAAGTGCCTCCTAACTCTCACAGTTGTCCTGGGAAACCCACCTGGCACTTGGCTCAGTGCCATGCTCCCCATCTAAACTTACCATGGTTGAATGCCAGTGTGACTAAAGTTGACCAAGGTAGATGGTAACGATTGTCTTAAGCTTCATTGAAAGGAGATCGGAAGTTTCTTTTTCACCAAAAATATTTCTTTTGACATAGAAGTTTAAAACATTTCTTTAAGGAACATCTGCTTTTATTAGATGTACATTTAAGAAATCCTTCTCAGTATAGAGATAAAAAGATGAATAAGACATTGTACCTGCCCTCAGATGGCTCATAGTCCAAGAACACTGTTCAATTGTGAAGTTTGTGCACAAGGTGGGCACAGGTCAAGTAGCAAATGAAGGTTAACATCCAGCCCACATGCTGCCCACCAAGGAGTCCACCCTGGTTTGGGACTGAATCTGCCCTGAGTAAGGTTACCAGATTTAGCAGATAGGAATATAGGATACTTAGTTAAATTTAAATTTCAGAAAAACATCACATAATTTTTTAGCATCAGCATATCCCATATTTTGGTCAGACTTATACTCAGGTATTTCTCTAGCAACCCTAACGCTGAACAAGAGGAAGAGGGTGCCTTTTAGCTCATACGAGGTGCTGGGGCTTGGGGAAGGAAGCAAGGGTGGCCGCACTCACCCAGATGATTGCTTTTTTCTAATTTGTTCACCTAGGGTGTGTGTGCGTGTGTGTGTGTGTGTGTGTGTGTGTGTTTTCTGATCCATGCAGAAGCTAACTGGTGTCCCTGTCACAATCCAGGGTGGGAGAAAGATGTGAAAACATGATGCATAGAGTTAGGTTTTATATGTTACGTGGTTCCAGTGGAACATAAAGGAAAGTGTGGTCCATTTTACCTGAGAAGATGTGCAAATCATTCACAAATAGTAGTTTCGGATCCTGGTCTTGAAAGATGAGTAAAAGGGAGATTTAGTCAGGGCCATTGTGCCATGCTAAGGAATTCAAGCGCTGCAGCAATGGAGAGAGAAGGTGAAGGATTTATGTATGCTAAAATTAGCATATTATTATTATTATTATTATTATTATTAGAGATAGGATCTTGCTGTGTTGCCCAGGGTGGAGTGCAGTGACGCAGTCTCAATCACTGCAGCCTTTACCTCCTGGGCTCAATTGATCCTCCCGCCTCAGCCCCTGGAGTAGCTGGGACAACAGGTGCACACCACCACACCTGACTAATCTTTATATTTTTTGTATAGACAGGGTTTTGCCATGTTACCCAGGCTGGTCTCAAACTCCTGGGCTCAAGCAGTCCACCCACCTCAGCTTCCCAGAGTGCTGGGATTACAGGTGTGAGCCATTACACCCAGCCTAAATTTTTTTAATTAACGTACAATATGATACTTGAGAATTTGAGGATATGTTCTGTGTACTTATCTTAGGCTTCATATGGCATAGTTTCACTGGAGGGAAGAATAGAAATTCATAAGAAATTATAGGCTTCATTTTTTCTAAGTGACTGAAGCTTAACCTCTTTAAATATCAATTATTATACTTTAGCCTTTTTTAAGAGGAAAAAAATTGCTACATACATTCTTAGTGTCTGAAGCAAAGTATAATAAACTCTATGTTAATGAATAAGGACCATCATAACAAACCATAATTGATGGGTCAGTATTTTCATGGGTGGGACTCAGCAGGAACTGTTGGAATATACAGGATTCCGTCCTGGTGCCTGTTAGGTAGATACGGTGTGCCCTGTTTGTTGAGTTTTTTGTACCTTTTCTTTTTTTAGTGGTTTTGCTATCAGCTGTTACTTGCAGAATCCAAGTGAGTTGTGTCAGCTGGCCTGCCTCTGATGACTCCTTTTTCCAGTGTGCTGCTTTCATCTGCTATAAATTAAGGCAGGCAACCACCAGGATTCATGAGCTGTTCATACAGTAAGAGAACTAAACTGTGGTTGGGCGCAGTGGCTTACGCCTATAATCCCAGCACTTTGGGAGGCCAAGGCAGGAGGATCACTTGAGTCCAGGACTTCTAGACCAGCCTGGGCAATATGGCAAAACCCCATCTCTACTAAAAATACAAAAAAGTCCAGGCACGGTGGCTCACACCCGTAATCCCAGCACTTTGGGAGGCCAAGGCAGGAGGATCGCTTGAGTCCAGGACTTCTAGACCAGCCTGGGCAATATGGCAAAACCCCATCTCTACTAAAAATACAAAAAAGTCCAGGCACGGTGGCTCACACCCGTAATCCCAGCACTTTGGGAGGCCAAGGTAGGTGGATCATTCAAGGTCAGGAGTTCGAGACCAGCCTGGCCAGTATGGTGAAACCCCCGCCTCTACTAAAAATACAAAAATTAGCCAGGCATGGTGACAGGCGTCTGTAGTCCCAGCTACTCAGGAGGCTGAGGCAGGAGAATCGCTTGAACCCAGGAGGTGGAGGTTGCAGCGAGCCGAGATCGCGCCACTGCACTCCAGCCTGGGCAACAGAGCGAGACTCTGTCTCAAAAAAAAAAAAAAAAAAAAAAAGCCAAGCATGGTGGTGCACACCTGTAATTCCAGCTACTCGGGAGGCTGAAGTGGGAGAATCACCTGAGCCCAGGAGGTCGAGGCTGCAGTGAGTGGAGATCATGCAACTGCACTCCAGCCTGGGCAACCAGAGTGAGACCTTGTCTCGAAAAAAACACAAAAACATAAAACTGGGCTGCAGTGAGAGCTGGAGAGGCCTTCCAGAGAGCAAGGCCCCATTTTGACTCCTGTGGGCCCCTTCCTCTACTAAAAAAAAAAATAAATTTTCCACCTGTTGGTACAAAGCTGAATATATTACTATATTAATATTTTCTTCCACCAAAAAGTTCTTTTTTTCTGATTTTTTTTTTTCCAGGAGTGCAGTGGCGCGATCTCAACTCACTGCAACCTCTGCCTCCCGGGTTCAAGCAATTCTCATGCCTCAGCCTCCCAAGTAGCTGGGACTACAGGCGCACACCACCACACCCAGATAATTTTTTGTATTTTTAGCAGAGATGAGGTTTCACCATATTGGCCAGACTGGTCTCAAACTCCTGGCCTCAAGTGATCCGCCCTCCTCAGCCTCCCAAAGTGCTGGGATTACAGGCCTGGCCTGATTTTAAAAGAAATTAGAATAATACTTTCATGGGTTCCTCAAAGTTTCATAGGCTCTGGGCACTGTGTCTAGTGGGTAAGTTGTCCTTGCCTGTCAGTTTTAAAGTTACTTGAACCTCACATTGTTTTTTCAGTACTAGGAGTGAGAGGATTTTTGCTTATTTCTGGTTCTTGGCTGTGCTCTGGATAGTTGAAATTGTTTAGCAGATTGGCCTCCAGATAAGTAAGGCATTATTATTGGATATAGTAAATTCATGTTCTGGAAGTTTGGGGCCTAAAGGAGCAATGTGGGCTCTGTAGGGTTAAATGAGGGCAGGGTATGGTGAGAAGGCAAATTTTGAAACATTGTGAACATAAGAGACAATTGCAAATTGGCAGAAAACTGGAGAAAGCATTTTAATAAACAAATGCTATGGATAAAAATCACAGAGGTAAAAATTAAATTAGAAAGGAGAATATTGACCTGATTAGAACACAGGGGTCAATTTAGGGTATATCAAGCTAAAAGCTGAGATAGGTAGGGAAAATCTACTGTGGATATAAGAGTGGGGAGTTTGGATTTGCTGATTAATGTGTGGTCATCTTAGTTAAGTTTCTAATGAGAGAGCATGCACAGAACCCTTCCTTTAAGGTATTAAGAATACTATGGCATGGTCAGTACAACTTTATCTTTTTCTTTTTTTTTTTTTTTGGACACCAAGTTTTGCTCTTGTTGCCTGGGCTGGAGTACAATGGCACGATTTCGGCTCACTGCAACCTCCGCCTCCTGGGTTCAAGTGATTCTCCTACCTCAGCCCCACAAGTAGCTGGGATTACAGGCATGCACCACCACGTCCAGCTAATTTTTGTATTTTTAGTAGAGATGGGGTTTTACCATGTTGGCCAGGCTGGTCTTGAAATCCTGACCGTTGGTGATCTGCCCGCCTCAATATCTTCTTAATTTATTTAACCTTTTCTCCTAAGAGCACAGAGGTCATTATTTCTAGGTAATAAATCTCCCTAACTCAAATTAAGAGATCAGCCATTGCTGATATGGGGCTTGTGGGGGCAGGGGCAAGAGTGGACCCCAAATCTAGTTTAAAATTACACAAATAAAAACAGTAGACAGCAAAGCATAGTGAAAATAGCAATGAGGCCTGAACTGTAGTTTCAGCTCCCTCACTGGACATGAGAGCCTCAGACAGATCACTTTACCTCTCACCCCAGGTTTCTCATCTGCAAAATGAGACAGAGAATGAGGGGGTTTGGGGGAATGAGGTAATCTTTAAGAGCTGCTCCCAATGTAAAATCTGATGATTCAGTGTCTTTTTCACAAATTGGAATTAGATATCCTTTAATATCATGAAGTCTGCTTTTGCCTATAGTATTTTAAATTATTAAGGGTTCAGTTTCTCGTTTCATATTCAGTCTGTATCATGAATTCCCCCCCTTATTGTCTTCTGTCCTGCTTGCAGCACCATGAGGATGGTTACAAAGAAGTAGACTAAGAATTTGCTTCAGGGTAAAATCTAATGGAGAGTTTAAGTGTAGTTGCCTGCCTAGTTGTGGCATGATTTATTTGAAACATCCTTCCTTTGGTATTCAGCTTAAACATTTAACTGCAAAAAAAAAAAGAAAAGAAAAAGTTACAGGCATTTAAACAAGAGAAATCAGAAATGCATGCAAAGAGGCCCAATTCCTCTCCCTTCACTTGTCTCTGGTTGCTTTTAATGGTAGTCGATCTTTTCCCTTGGTTTGGGGAAACCAAGAGTTGTAGGAGATGTTAATAGTACTTGGTTTTTGTTTTTGTTGTTGTTGTTGTTTTGAGATGTTTTGCTCTTGTTGCCCAGGCTGGAGTGCAGTGGCGCCATCTCGGCTCACTGCAACCTCCGCCTCCCAGGTTCAAGCGTTCTCCTGCCTCAGCCTCCTTAGTAGCTGGGATTACAGGCATGTGCCACCACGCCTGGCTAATTTAGTAGAGACAGCATTTCACCATGTTGGTCAGGCTAGTCTCCAACTCCTGACCTCGTGATCCACCCGCCTCGGCCTCCCAAAGTGTTGAGATTATAGGTGTGAGCCACTGCACTGGCCAATAGTACTTGTTATCTCACTAGCTTAGGTTAATGACAGCTAATGAATCTTATCTTTCCTCTGCTAGAGAAGTCTGTGTTATCCAGTCAATAGCTAATCAATTGATTAAAAGAGATAAGCCAGACTTTGGCACGAAGCATACATGCTGTTCATTCTAGATTATTTTCTTTAAAATTTGTTGCTATCAACACTTGGGGCTCAGAGGTGTAGACTCTGAAATGATAGTTACTTTCCTTTTGGACACTTAATATAATGTGCATTTTTCTAGGACCAGAAAGTAATAATGAAGGAGTGATCTGCTACCCTTGAAAGCTATACTGGGATTATCATTCATTCAGTGCATATTTATTAACTTTGTACTTTGTACAAGGCAGTATGCTAGCCCTGGAAACATCAGTAAAGCCAAACCGACTTAAGTCCTGTCCTGATGAAGGAGAACTAGCAAGAAATACAGTAAATATAGTAAGTATATAGTATGTAAAAGGCGATCCAAACTGGAGGAGGGAAAGGGCAGGATAAGGGTTGGGGAGTTGCAGTTTTAAATGGAGGTATGTGGGGATTGAGTTGGCCTGTGGAAAAGCTGACATTCAGGCAGGTCCTTGACTTGGAGGGAAAGGCCTGTGTGGCTATGGAAGGGAAGAGCATTCCAGGCAGAGGAATCCTCTCTGTGTGCCAGGCATGCCATGCTGAGTACTGCAAGGGCACAGATGGATGATACGTGGTTTCTACCATCGGGGAGTTGACAGGCTAGAAACAAGATTCAGGCTTGAAGATAAATGCAGAGAAGCACTATGGCAAGGTAGAATTTTTCTAAGGGTCTCTGTTGAATAATACAAGCTAAGAAAATATGAAAAATTATTCCTATTTCAAGAATGAAGCCAGGTTAAGTGATAGACCAAAGGACCTCTACCAGGAAAGCTTCTTACTCTTGGCTCTGAGCCAATTTCCTCCTCAGAAGTTGCTGCCTCTCCCTGAGGCCCCACGCTGCCATGAGTCCTTCTGACTCTCTGTGAGTCACCCCACTGCCATGACTCCTTCGGAGGGGGTGTCTGACCTCTTGCTTCAGGCCTCTTCTGGGCCTCACAGTAACCCTTGTGAAGCTGAAGATGGGAGCTCTCATCTTCCCTAACCCAGAGCCAACCTTGGCCTCTCTGCGTCATTTGCTGCCAGTGCCCTGTGTTTGTTTTTGGGAAGAGAGGGATTTTCAGGCATCCCGTCCCTCACCCACCTGACCTAACCGTATGGATTCCTGACACCACAGGCAGAGGACTATTCTTCAGGTTCCTCTGAAGCCCACCTGTTCAGATGCTTGCTTCTTTTCCTTCTTGCCTGTTCTGACTGTGATGACAGAGACCCCGCCTCAGGAATCTCCACCTCACACTCTATTCTCATAAGTAGGTAGAATTTTCTCATCGCATATTTATGGTTGAGGAGGAGATAGATGCTGAGAAGTTAAATAATCTACCCCAAATCACACAGCTGTGAGTGATGGGGCCTCTACTTCTGTTGCACCAAGCTACCTGTCCATCAGGGGACTTGCCTCACCATTGCTTTCTGCCAGCCCTGGGCTTGCCTTAAAAAGGACATCATATGCATAAGACACTGGTTAAAAGGTGCAGCATGGTCCCTGGAGATGCTCACTCTTACAACTGGCCTGTCCTTGGGGCAGCAGCTCCTCACAGGCCCCTAAGAGGTAGACCTCCTGCCTGTGGCTGCCAGAACCCTCTTCTCCATCACAGGTCTTCCTCCTCAAGAGCCTTCTCTGGTTTCCTGTTGCTTTTTATATTAAATATTTCCCTTAGTTTAGCATCCCGAGTCTGCCTTTTGCTGATTGTTCCCTCCCTGTGTCTGCAGACAACTTCGTTTTCAGCCTTGGTGCTCTGTCTCAGCTGCTTCTACCACACACATAGGATTTAGGCGCATTCAGGACCTGTCCCTTCTTTTCAAGGGCCTTGCCAGTGCCTACTTGTTGTCATTGTCTTTGCAGTACTACGGATAACCTTCCTAGATAACCCCCCTCCAGGAAACTGTCCCCATAAACCGGGTGCCCTCCGCCATGATTAGTTTGTATTTGCGAGTGTGTTACTTGGTTGTGTTCCCTGAATATTTATTTGGTTTTCCCAGCTAAGTTGTAACTTATTTGAAGGCACAAACCAAATCTCATAATTCTATTAAGTACCTAAAAGGAGTAAATTATTGTTAATGCTCCAATTGGCTAATGTCTATTTCATATTTTACTTACCAGATTTACAAATGCTTAATATTCTGAAATATTTCACTCTCATTTACAAAAACATCAGATTCTACTAAGCAGAAAATAAAGTTTAATGCCCCCAGCACATAGCAGTTTTGAGTTGCACTTTTAAACTCACTTCTTAATCCATTTCAGGGTTTTCAATTGTTCACAGTTAATTCTTCTTACCAAGGGTGTATTACACTTGCTCAGCATTGAATGATATGGAAAGAATGGCCTTTCTTTCCTGCATAACTGACTTTACTTTTGTTCATAGGTTGAAATCAGCCCTTCCATTTCACTGCAGTATTATATTAGTGGCATTTTTATTTAGGGAAAAAAAAAAAGCTTTCTTCCACTTGAACTTTTGTTACAAATCAGTTTATTGGGTCCAATCAATGGGCAAGACCTATGAAAGGGTGTGGATTATCTGGTTGGTCCTTTGTGTGGCAAAAGGCTTAGATGCTGCTTAGTACTCGCTCATTCTTCATCATGTAAAGAAGTGTTTTTTTTGAAGGATCAACACCTGACTGAGCCCTGCCTTTTTCATGGAAATGTTTTCACCTGAGTTGCTGCTTATGGTACTAAGAATTAGTTAACTAATACTTATTTAACCTTGGAACAATGTTTATCATAATCCGATTGGCAGATAGTCATTTTACTTAGGCTTTTTCTTTATAGCATCAGGACTAGCAAATCTCAGTAAAGAGTATGCTGGGAGCAATTTCTTTTTTCCCAAATAGGTTATCACTCTGTGCTTTTTTTTTGCTTTCCGTCAAGGGGCATGTTTGGGCACTGTGGACATTAAGACTGGTGGCCACACATTAGGAAGGTGGAGGTCCCCTCTTGGGTTGAGCACCACTTTTGTTTTTAAAGCTGCATCCCCATTTCATGCTGCTGGCAGTGTTTCCCTTCAGACGAATCCCATGCAATGTATCACTTTAATATATTCGGAGCTGTTTTTCATGATAAAGCTTCCTTATGAGCACTACCACTAATTAATACACAAAGTGGCCCAGCACAATTTAATAATTTGGTAATGTTTTTCAATGTTTTCTTAAAGATGACGCTTTACAAGTCAAGACCCAAACTTGCCTGGGTCATGACCTCTTTGCAGTTTTTGGAGTCTTGTTAAACAAGAAGGAAAGCAAAACATAAATTAGCGTCTCCAGTATGGTTGCTCTACATTTCCCAATCTTTCAACACTTTGAAGAGCATAGTCACTGTTAATGTAAGAGAACATCTCATGAGGAAACTGGCAGCGATTTTAAAAGTCCGGCTTTCTGGAATGAGTAAGAAGCTTCTTCCTCAGTGCCACTGTTCTAGGGCCAACATTGTCCTTTGTGAGAGAGGAGCAAGATGAGGAAGTTTGCATTATGGACTATGGAACATTAAAAAGCTAAAAAAGAGAAGTAACAGTTACCTTTAATCATACTGAGGATGTATCAGCATGTGTGGCCTTTGGCATCTGTTAGCCTTTAGGGCTATGTTCCCAAGTTTGCCATTAGAATTTAGTGTTAAAAAATACTTTAAATATAACAGCACCACTTTTTGTTATAGTAAAAATGTATGTCTTTACTCGATTGTAATTACCTCAACACCCAGCTTTTGTTGTTATTTTGCCCTTGGACTTAGGTATTTCTGTTCCTCTGGCTTAGAATGTCCTTCCCCTTCATCTTCCTAATCAACCTACTCATTCCTTACGACTCAACTCATGTATCATCTCCTCCAGAAAAAGCTTTCTCTGCCACGTGTTTCTTCCCTCTACCTGACATCCTTGTGCGTAATACCTCCACCTTTCCATATTGTACTATAATTATCTATTTTGCATCTGTCTTTCTGTGGAAGGTCTGTTGCATATTCATCTAGGAACTTGGTAAATGTCTGATGATAAGCATTTGATTTTTTCCTAGTTGATTCCTCAAATAATAATAATGATTACCCTTTAATCTGAATGCTCACAGGTGTACTTCTATCTCATATTCTATGCGCAGTCATCTGTTAAGCTAATGGCTAATTGTACCAGAGGGTCTCAACTTTGTTTCTTTGATCTGCATTGGTTTATGGTGGTACCTTGCCCATTCTTGGCACAGCAGGTGGATAAAAACAATGAGTAACATTGAGAAAGGCTAATGTGTCTTATTGACAGTAGTGGTATAATGTTTACCAAACCCAAATTGAAATTATTTTGGTTTCTTAAAATCTTTTCCCGATAGCCCATTTATTTTAATGTTCTGAATTTCCAAGATCTGTGTATAGGTTCAATGATTAGTCTTTACTGAAGACTTATCTATGGACTGAGTGTGTATTATAAATCTAGTGACATAAGTTTAAAACTTATTCCTTTTTCATTTTCCAAGTAAACTTTTTTAGTAATGTGTTTTTCTTTGTAAAGACAGGCAGTATATGATTTAGGTCTGGATCTGGTTTCCAGTCTTGGCTCCATCATGTATTGGTTATTTGGCCTTGAACACAAATGACTTGCCTTGAACACAAATGACTTATATCTGTGAGATTCAATAGCTTCATCAGTAAAATGGGGATAGTAGTAGTACTGAATTGTCATGATTATAATGAAAATTAATTGAGAGACTGATCTGGAGAGGTGCCATACTACAAAGAGGATTAAGTGGAGGTGTCCCTATTAAATGGCGAGATACCCAGAAACATTACCCTGTTGACTCCAGTATGCTGGCAACGAGGCTTTATAGTCTTTGGGAAGGAGACTGGAAGATTCTTCTCTGGGAAAAATGTACACATACTGACCTTTGAAGGACCCCCAGTAATCAGCCAGGTCTTACCTGATCATCCTATAGTGAAGCCCCCCGACACAGTATTTCCATTCATAGTTTAGCTCTTAAATGTGAATTAGCTATCCAGCAATCACCAGACACTTGAGGAAAGCCTCCAGAAAACAAATTGGAAAAAGGGGCAAGTCATAGGAAACAGACAAAACAAGGAACAGAAGAAAACATCATTTTTGCAATCTATAATATTCACAAGTTTGTTTTTTGAGACAGAGTCTCACTTTGTCACCCAGGCAGGAGTGCAGTGGTGCCATCTCGGCTCACTCCAGCCTCAAACTCCTTGGCTCAAGCGATCTGCTCACCTCAGGCTCCCAGGTACCTGGGACGACAGGCATTTGCCACCACACCCGGCTAATTTTGGTATTTTTGTTGAGATGAGGTTTCGCCATGTTACCTAGACAAGTCTCAAACTCCTGGGCTCAAGTGATCTGTCCATCTCAGCCTCCCAAAGTGCTGGGATTACAGGTGTGAGCCACCGGCCTCAGAGATCTAAAACAAGATATTGTATTTTAATTGCACAGGATGCAATTAAAAAAGAAAACATTCAGAAAACAAGAAGAGCTCTTAGAACTGAAAAATAAGTTAGTGTAAAGGTTGGAAGATAAAATTGATACTAACCTGAAAAGTATTAGAAAGAGAAAGAAATAAAAACTAAGAGTAAATAAGAAAATTAGAAGATTAGTCCTAGAGAATCAGTATCCAACTAAGAGGTTCCCAGTGGGTGATACAGAGAAAATGAATGGGAGGAAATCTCAAGGAAATGTATTTCCTAGAACTGAATGATTGGAATTTCCAGTTTAGAAAGAAGGAATCTAGTGCCAGCAAAATGAGTATAGAAAGAACCATCTTAGGATATGTAGTTTTCAAATTGCAGAACATAGGAATGAAGAAAAGATTCTGAAAGTTTTGTATTAAAAAGGTTAGAAACAAAAGATCAAAGATCAGATAGCATTTGTCTTTTAGCCTTCAGTGCCTTCAAAATTGTGAGAAAAAAATTATTTCTAACCTTTTTATTTATTTATTTATTTTTTTGAGATGGAGTTTCGCTCTTGTTGCCCAGGCTGGAGTGCAATGGCGTGATCTTGGCTCGGCTCACTGCAACTTCTGACTCTTGGGTTCAAGCATTCTCCTACCTCAACCTCCCAAGTAGCTGGGATTACAGGCACGTGTCACCATGCCCAGCTAATTTTGTATTTTTAGTAGAGATGGGGTTTCGCCATGTTGGTCAGGCTGGTCTCAAACTCCTGAACCTCAGGTGATCCACCTGCCTCGGCCTCCCACAGCACTGGAATTATAGGCATGAGCCACCACACCTGGCCTCTAACCTTATTTTTTACAACTAGCCAAACTATTAAGACAAAGGATACAATAGTAAGGCTAGAATAAAGGTATTTCCAGACATGCAAGGTCTTTAAAATTTTACCTCCCTCACTCTTTCTGAGGAAGCTTTTGGGTACATGCAGCATAGACAGGGGAATAGATGAGGAAAAGGAAGGCTGGGATACAGGGAATCTAACAGAAGAGAGAGGAAAGCTCCAGAACTACAGCTGTGCCCCAGGCCTAGAGAGTCACCGCTTCAGATTGAACTGTGAACACAGAGGACTCCTGGAGGGGAATTTCTTCAAGAACACAACTTTAAACTATGTAATGTGTTTGAACATACTGAAAGGAGACTTGTGATTGTTTTAGAGACAAACTTGTGATAAGTACCTGGTAAACTAAGCAAAGGGGAAAAAGGCAATTAACTCCAGTAAAACAAAATGTTGTCCAAGAAAGGAAATTGAATAGTACTCTGCATGGCCTAGCTGTAAACCACATTTGTATAAACATAATAAATACTGAATATAGATTTAACTAAAGACTGTGAAATAACTGTATCGGAAGGATGTAAAAAGGGGCATGTGGTGGGGGAAGGGGGGTAGTGCAAAATTAATAATAAATCCCCATCTTCCATGGTAGGAAGTTAGTAAATCATATTTAAAGCTGAAAACAAAAATCTAAAACCAGTAATGTAACATTATTATTTGAAGATAAGGAAGTAAATATAAGAAGAAAAGCCAAGAGAATTGAAAATGGTTGCCTTTGAAGAAAGGGAACTGAGAATGGTAGCATAAGCCTGGCATAGTTTTTAAACTTTTTTTAAAAAAATATTTTGGGGTTAAAAGTAAAAATGAAAAATATTAAATGTGACAATTATGGAAAGCACTTTAGCCCATGCCTTTTACAGTTCAGTGTTGCATAAATATAAACTCTTATTACCCTGCTCCTTCTAAAAAGTGTACTAAAGCCTTGTAAAGCCAGCGCCACATACTTTCTATTCATTTCATCTTTTTTCCCCAATTCCCACCATACATGTGCCATGTTGGCTCTGAGGAAGGAATTACATACATACACGTCAGTATCTTTCCATTTGTTTGTGTATCTTCTTGATTTACTAATCCATTGTTTTATTGATGTGAATGAGAAGGAGCTGTTCACATGTTGCCACTTTCTGAATCATGTGGTTGGTACCTTTTTTCAGGATTTTCAGGAAAATCCTGAATTGTTTTCTTCTGTTTTGCCTAATCATTTGCATCGGCAAGATTAAATAAAAGTCTTTTGCAAATTGTGTTCAAGCTTACTGTAGTTTCCTAATTAGTCTTATTATGTACATTTTAACACATTTTCTCCCTATGATCAGGGCCGCAAGCTTCTTATCATTGGGACCACTAGCCGCAAAGATGTCCTTCAGGAGATGGAAATGCTTAACGCTTTCAGCACCACCATCCACGTGCCCAACATTGCCACAGGAGAGCAGCTGTTGGAAGCTTTGGAGGTAAAAATGAGTCAATGGATTGCACACTGTTTATAAGAAAGGAATTGAGGCTGAAATAAGTAGTACCACATTATACCTGGTGTTTGGTTTTTATGCTAATCTGGAACATGGGACCCGGGGATATTACAGGTTGTATATACCTTATCCAAAATGCCTGGGACTAGGCCAGGCACGGTGGCTTATGCCTGTAATCCCAGCACTTTGGGAGGACGGGGCAGGTGGATCACTTGAGGTCAGGAGTTCGAGACCAGCCTGGCCAACATGGTGAAACCCTGTCTCTACTAAAAATACAAAAATTAGCTGGGCATGGTGGTGGGCACCTGTAGTTCCAGCTACTCAGGAGGCTGAAGCAGGAGAATCTCTTGAACCCAGGAGGCGGAGGTTGCAGTGAGCCAAGATTGTGCCACTGCACTCCAGTCTGGGTGAGGGAGCAAAACTCTAACAACAACAAAAAATGCCTAGGACCAGAAGTGTTTCAGATTTCAGATTTTTTCAGATTTTGGAATATTGCATTATATTTAGGTTGAGCATCTCTAATCTGGAAATCTGAAATGCTTCAGTGAGCATTTCCTTTGAATGTCATGTTGGCACTCAGAAAGTTTCCAATTTTGGAGCATTTTAGATTTCAGACTTTTGGATTAGGGATACTCAACCTGTACCTCCAGTTGTTTTCAGGAATTAGAGAAGAAAGATGAATATACATGACAGTGAGTTAATTTCCCATTCCTCAATGTAGGCAGCTACAAACTGCCAGGAATTAATTGCTCTGTATCCAGCATGAGTGATGTATATAGATTACTTGGACCAGAAACTTGAATGGGTGGTGGTGTGGGGGTAAGGTAATCACTGTATAGAAAAATTAACCATTCATAGTGGCTTTTAGCACATTTCCTTGCATTTAATAAGTTGGAACAATGATTAAAGCCTTAGAAATGTCAAAAAAAAAAAAGCTACAGAAGTAAAAGGAACTTTATTAACAAGTTTAGAAATAGAAATGTTTTCTTAATTTTTTGAAAATGACAGTCATTTTTAAAAAAGAACGTTCTTCATTTAACTTTTAATATCAATATTCACAAGTAACTTGGTGAGCTCTATTGGAAAATATTATCTACTGAGTTGTTCAGCAGTGGTGGAGTCAGTAAAGCTTCTTAAAGTCCTCAAGGCCCCCAACAAAATTGAAATTTATCTATATGATAAATGTTTTCAGGTTACCCATGTAGACAGCTTTTGTGCAGAAGCTGGGTAAGAGAATTAAAGGAGTTTGCTTTGACACATACAGATTGTTCCTAGAAAAGAATGTTAAAAATTTTAACTTATATTTATTATGGATTGGAGCTATTTTTTTCCCCAGAAAATATAAGTTACATAGCGGTCCATAAGAAAACAGGGTTTAAGATACCAGTTTTCACTTTCATGATTGCACCTAATGGGTTTAGGATGGTGAAGGTCAGACTGGATTTTAAAGTAGGAGAGAATTCTATCAACTTGAACAGTTAGGTAGTTCTTATCACTCTTCTTTTAAAGGTAAATAGAATTAACCAATGTTGATGTGTTCACTGTAAAAGTGCTTTGATTATTGTTTATTGTTTTTGTAGCTTTTGGGCAACTTCAAGGATAAGGAACGCACCACAATTGCACAGCAAGTCAAAGGGAAGAAAGTCTGGATAGGAATCAAGAAGTTACTAATGCTGATCGAGATGTCCCTACAGGTAAGGTACTTCGTTCTCCGTATGACTCAGACAGAACAAAGCTTCAGGACACACCAAGAGGGTTCAGTATTTCCTTTGCCAAGGTTTTAATTAATTTAAGTTTTGATTTTCTTATATTATTTCCAAACTTAATTTGGTATTAGTAGCCTGCTTCTGAGATTGATCACTTAACAATACTTTTTAACTTCTTAAAATTCAAAAATGGAAGGAAAGATTATAAAGTTAGTTTTCATTTAGGGAGCCACTAGGTCTTAGAACTAGAAAAGACTTCAAAGAGCAGTCGTTCTTCTGCCCCCTCATTTTGGAGATGAGGATACTATGTGAGCCACAGGCTGTCAGTGAATTATCCAAGATCACATCACCAGGTTATTGATGGAGAAGGGATGGTGTTGCACCTCAAGTCAGTAAGCGACTGCACATATACCAAACGGTGTCTGGGAGACTGCTTTAAGGGACAAGTTAATTAAGTTGTGCAGTCTAGACTTGGGATCTGTATATTTGTCCCTGGCTGGGCTCCTAGAAATTTCATGCAAACTACTGTAGGGTTGAAGCATCCAGAATCACATAGAAAACTGAGCCCCAGGGTGCTGCCTGGGCAAAGACAGATGAAACTTCTTTGGGACTTTCTCATATCTCCTGGCAACTTACCTTTCTTCATTTTAGAACTCCACCCTTCCATGTGCCCATGCTGTGTCTTCTTGTCCTTATCTGACATACTAGGTAGCTGATAAATACCTCCCTATCAAGCCCTATGAGTTCAGAGACCTTGGCTCTTACTATTGAGTCCACAGCCCCTGGAACAGAGCCAACACATATGAAGGTGCTCAGTAAACTTTTATTATTATTATTATTATTTTGAGACAGGGTCTCGCTCTGTCTCCCAGGCCGGAATGCAGTGCCATGATCATGGCTTACTGCAGTTTTGACCTCGCAGGCTCAGGCGTTCCTCCCGTCTCAGCCTCCCAAGTAGCTGGGACTACCAGCGTGTGCTACCACACTCAACTAATTTTTGTATTTTTTGTAGAAACATGGTTTCACTATGTTGCCCAGGCTGGTCTTGAACTCCCGAGCTCAAGTAATCCGTCTGCCTCAGCCTCCCAGAGTGCTGGGATTACAGGCATGCACCACTATGCCTGGCCCTCGGTAACTTTTTTTCTTTTTTTTTCTTTTGAGACGGAGTCTCGCTCTGTTGCCCAGGCTTGAGTAGTGGCATGATCTCGGCTCACTGCAGCTTCCACCTCCCGGGTTCAAGGGATTCTCCTGCCTCGGCCTCCTGAGTAGCTGGGATTACAGGCGCCCACCCACCATGCCTGGCTAATTTTTTGTATTTTTAGTAGAGATGGGGTTTCACCATGTTGGCCAAGCCGGTCTCGATCTACTGACCTCAGGTGATCTGCCCGCCTCGGCCTCCCAAAATGTTGGGATTACAGGCGTGAGCCACTGCGCCCGGCCAGTAAACTTCTGTTGGATGAATAACTGTAAATTCATTTTACAGTTAGGTAAATGGACAGAGTGGCTGTATTCTAGGCATCATGTGTTACTAGGTGTTACTAGGTCCATCTAGGTGGACAGAGTGGCTGTATTCTAGGCATCATGTGTTACTTACTGATGGTCCTGCATTCTGCTAGTGTGGGCAGTGAGCGGCAGAGGTGAAGTTTCTGTTTCACAGTTACATCTGAAATAGGCTCTTGGACCAATAACAAATTGGAAACGTGAAGTGAATGCTTTTTAATCTTTTCTGGTAAATTTATCTGAAAATAAAATTTTTTTGACTTTCAGAAATCTAATTTAATCTACTGAGCTTTCAGATGGACTATTTTTAAGTCAATTAATTTATTTTCCATTATGAGCCATAAATTAAAGTCACAGACTAACCACTTTGTTTAGACTTATTCTTGGTAAAAGTGCAAATACAGGTGTATTGGCTCTTTCCTTGAAAAAAAGATAAATCTGTCAGATTGTCAGCTTCTTTTTTTTTAAGTTTCAGTATAATTTTTTTTCAATAATTGCATAGAAGAAACTATGTGGATTTTTTCCCCAACCCTCATCCCTTTCCCTTCCTTTGATGCCTGCAGGTCAGTGATCAAGTTAATGCTTCTTATGCATGTGGGATAGAGAGTGAGAGTGGGGCACTCAGGCCTGATCTTCAGCGACTGACATTTCATAGGCCTCTGAGTTTGAACCCCTTCATGTCAAATGGATTTCGTGCAGCTGAGTGAATTCTCTTTAGATCTGCCTTAGAGAGGCTGAACCTAAGTGAAGAGGCATGTAGTTTTGCAGAATATAAGTCGTGGTACCTCTCTGTTCACTACATGCTATTCTGTTAAAACTTGCACAGAGCTGAGGATCTGCTCTGACTGGATGTCACCTGAGGGAATAAAGTCATTTATCTAGATTACTTTTTTCCTCCCTTTCTCCTGACTTTTAATTCCATAGCTACAGGCAAGTCAGTAAGTTGTTGCTCACACATATTAAATATATTTAATGGGCAAAGAACTGCAAGTACCAACTACAACTGCGCTCCAGCCAGTTCTTTTTTTTTTTTTTTTTTTTAAGAACTTGACAATTGATTCATATGTAATTCTATTCCCAAAAAGGAAAAATGTTTCTTTTGTTAGCTATTCACACTTTTTCTTAGTCCTTTGTAGTCTGACCTCTTACCTTTGATACATTTGAAACTTCTGTTCAGTGTTTTTCTGGGATAGAAGAAATCTTAAAAAAAAAAGAAAGAAAAGAAAAAAAAATCCGTGGTTGGAGTGGGAGTCCAATTGCACATCTCCCCACAGCTGCACTGAGCATTTGAAAGTTATTCCTGGAGGGCAGGGAGTTCCCTCTTGGGAAACAGACTCCTGCTCTGAAACATATTTTAAAAGTTAGGTGTGTTTCTTACAATAAAAATTCATCTTCAGGAACTAAAGATGTTTTTAACGATTGTTTTCTAGATAACTTCATATCTCCTGTGGGCCTACGAGAATAAAGTACATTTAACGAGTTAGTATAAATATGAATAGAAAATGAAAACCAGTCGAGATAGCTAATAATAACGACCTGAACGAAGCACCTGAAACAAAGTTGCGCCATCTTTTCTTAGACTCATGACACATTCGCAGTCACAGGAGACCCAGATTCATCTGGAGATGATTTCAGGAATCAGCAGTACTCTTCATTTTTTTAGTTTTAGCACAACTTTGTTACTACAAAGAAGAAACTATATGACGGATACTGAGGCTAAGAAAAGCTACATGGTTGGTTATGTAGAGTTAATAAGCTATTTTTTAGTTGTTGAATTAACCTCAACTTGGTATCTTCTACTTTGCTGTGACTTTAGTAGCCTTTTACACCTTCAACAGGTGAATTGGTTGTCATTTGAACTCTGATGAATGGCCCTGTCCAGTCTCACAGCGATGCCTCACAGGCATCAGCACAGGGCACGCCTGGCCCAAGTGCCTATGATGGCCAGCGGGCTTGGGTCTTTTGGAACCCAGTGTACATAGTTCTGGAAAACCCCATTCACTTCCTCCAAATGATGTGATCTGCTTTGTTTTGTGTGAGAATGCTGGTCAAGGAGCAGGTAACACATTCAGTGACCTAGCAGAGCATTGATGAAGTGTGAAACCGAACACTGCCTTCTCATGAAGCAAGTGCAGAGTTGTTAGAAGGTACCATTAACCCATCTTCATTTCTTCTGATGTATTTAGATGGATCCTGAATACCGTGTGAGAAAATTCTTGGCCCTCTTAAGAGAAGAAGGAGCGTAAGTACATACAACATTTAATGACCATCAACCAAACTTACCACCCTGTTAAATCCCTGTGCCTATTCTAAGAGTTGCTTTCCTAGATAAGTTTGTTTCCATTTATTTGAATTCTTCGCTGTGTTGTAGGTCCGAGAGACCAAGCAAGGAAGTTGGTTGTACTGTTGGTTTGCTCTCCCTGTCCTGCTTCGCAAAACTTCCTTGTCACAATGCAGGAAAAACTTAATGGTACATATTTATTGGAACCTGCTTTTACATGCATGGAGCTGTGACCATTTTCTTTTGTGAAGTGCTCATCTAATAGCAAATGCATAGTGGGAAATGTAGGATAACCATTAAGAAGCTTTTAGTGATTTTTTTTTTTTTTTTTTTGATGAATAGTTTTTTACGGACCCTCATCTGTTTTTTTGTGTTTTGGTATTTCTTTTGCAGTAGCCCCCTTGATTTTGATTGAAAATGAACTATTTGAAACACACAGTGACCAAGGGAAGTGACCAAGGTGAAGATGGCCTAGGATCTTCACTGTCTTACTCAAGATACTGGACTAAGTGGAACGTTCTCTACCTTCAACATGTGCTCGCTCTGCATGATTAGTGCAATAAAACTCCCTTCCTTATGCATACTGAGATAGCTTAGTGTCTCGTGGAAGGTGTCAATTTGGTTTAGAATGCTGCGCTTACCTTCCCATGCAGGCTAAAGTGATTCCTTCTTGCTCAGTCCCTCTGGGTGGGAACCATCCAGTACTTGTGGACACTACACGTTTCAACCTCTCTACTAGCACCATCACCCTTGAAAACTCTCAGTCAGTGTCATGAATGTTGCATGACAACAGTTGGCCGATTAGAAGGCAGACTTTCTACATGCAAATCTGGCTTAGTAAATCGAGGTGTGGGCCAGAGATCCTCTGACAGCTGTCCTGAGCTAACACTAAAAGTCACTGGGTATTTGGTTAAAGGTCTCCCACAAGACTGGTATTCTCTTTGCCTGAAGAAACAAGGCATTGAATCTCTAAAATGCTGTTCTCAATCATTGTCAGAGATGTTTTCAAGTTGCAGTCAGAAGATCTTTCTTAATAGAAAGTCAGATGACTACCGTGTTGGTTGTGACTTCCCCTTAAGTATAACTAATTTGCTCTGTGGTAAGAGATATGCTCATTATTACCACTTAGAAGATGTTGTTAAAAACATGTGAAAGATAGGTATGGAAAAAGCATACACCCCCAAACAGAAAGGAGTTATTAAAGTAATTTACAAACCTCTCAGCACTAATTAGTGTCCAACTCCAAGTGGGTCAATTCCTTAGTATAATATTAAGGCTTACTAGTATCACTGCTTTTTCCTTAGCTTAATGACTTACTTAGAATTTATCCTTTATTTTAAATGATCTGTACTATCTAGTGTCTAAAACACTATTCTCCAGAAAAATCAATCATTTTCTAGCCCTCTCCCTCAGTCCTTTATTGTCCATTCCAATACATTGAACACATTTCCTTTACCCTCCACACACTTCTTCCAAAAGGAAGCACCCGTTGAGTCCTTTTGAGGGTGATTTGTCTTACAACTGACTGACTTAGCAGGAATTTAATTAGGTCATATTTGGTGATGAGACTTATGGAGTGTGCCTCTCTCTCCCAACTGCTGCTTAAAATGCAAGGACAAGCAATTAGAAGCCATCCTAAGGTGCTTACCTCACACGCCACCCATGAGGCTTGTGGCCACAGTGGCACTTGGGTGTGGCTCCTCTGTTATTTGTCCTCATGTGAGAAAGCAGATCATCTCCAAATCTTGCCATTTGTATACTTTTGGTGGAGACTTGGATGTCATATCTTCTTTGTTTTGGGTTTTCTTCCCTAGCTTATTTTGTGGCTTTTAAAGAAGTGGATTGTATTGTGAGATCCTGTGATTCCTGGTGGCCAGTATCCTGGATTCCTCTAAGATCTTGCCTCTTTCCTCCTCATGAAAGCAGCACACATTGTGTTAACTTATGTCTCTTGTTAAATGAGCTTAATGTCTTTGTGTTTTGTCCAAAACTGTATTGAAAAAATATTGTTTAATGCAAATGAAGGAATGCAATAAAGAGTAAATATACTTGAAAATGTTCTGTAGACCAGTGTTTCATATAGAACGACATGAACAGCTGATAGGAATGGAGGAAGAAGGAGGGGGCTCAGGAAAGAAACCTCTCCGTGTTTTGTTACAAGTAGCATAACATGAGGGATGATTTTTATTTTAAAAATCTCTTATTTAGAAAGTATAGTTATTTAAAAACATCATTAGAGTATCAGAAAAAGTTAATATACAACCATCTTTATGCTTTATACTTATTTTATCTTACTAAAAAAAAAAAATGCCTGGCACGGTGGCTCATGCCTGTAATCCGAGAGGGAGGCTGAGGTGGGTGGATCACTTGAGGTCAGTAGTTCAAAACCAGCCTGGCCAACATGGTGAAACCCTGTCTCTACTAAAAATGCAAAAAACAGCCGGGTGTGGTGGCACATGCCTATAATCCCAGCTACTCAGGAGGCTGAGGCAGGAGAATTGCTTGAACCTGGGAGGCAGAGGTTGCAGTGAGCCAGGATCACGCCACTTGCACTCAGCCTGGGCAACAGAGCAATACTTTGTCTCAGAAAAAGAAAAAAAAAAAAATCAACTCAGGTACCTAAGCCACAAACAAGGTTAGTAATAAACCAGAAAGGAGGGTTGCCACTCAATTAGAATTACTCCTTTCTGTGAAATGTACAAACCAAGGAACTTCAAGGCTCTCAGTGAGATTGCTTCACATGGTTCACTTTTGTATCCTCCATAGTTTTTTACATTTTTCTGAGCTATCAGATCTCTTAACCTCCTAAACCTTGATCCTTAGCATTGGCTCAGTTTAGGACAGGAGGCAGCTCAGAAAGTCCACAAGGCCCTGTGGGGAAGAGGCCAGCTTCAAGAACTTCCACAACGGGAGTTCCTGGGAGGAGGACCCTGAGGCCGACCTGGTCCCTGCATAGCCTTGAGAAGGTGGGTTCTTGAAGCTGCCCAAATATTCTTCAAAGCCAGTGCTGTACAGCAGAGCGTATGAGATTACAGAACGGCCTGTGAAGAAGCAAAGGAGGCTCCAGCTAGCTGCTGCCTTAGGTTTCTTCATCTATAGGCGAATTGTTAACCGGCTATTTTTTTGTCATAAGATGTTTTTGAGATCAAAACCTCAAAAGAGGAGGTTATTTTATCCTTTCTAAATTTGTACATCTTCACTGGGACACTTTTTTTCAATGTCACACAGAAAAATTGCATAATTGTGGTTAAAGTCAGAAATATGTTTTTACTTTAAGGCTGTCTTTTCATATCCTAAAAATTGCAGCCTCCCCTTTAAAAGTTTCAGCAACAAGTCACAAAATCATGGAGTAGATTGAAGTGTGTACAATAATCAAATCCTGATCAACAGACTTGTTGAAACAGTGAGTCAGCTATAAACAAACACCCCAGCCCAAACACAGAAGGTGAAAGCAGGATTTCATTTTCCTTGCCTGACAACTTGGTCCATAGCCTCTTTAAAGAAGTGACTGGGGGCAGCCGGGCGCAGTAGCTCACACTTGTAATCCCAGAGCTTTGGGAGGCTGAGGCGGGCAATCACCTGAGGTCAGGAGTTCGACGCCAGCCTGACCAACGTGGTGAAACACCGTCTCTACTAAAAATACACAATTAGCCGGGCATGGTGGCACATGCCTGTAATCTCAGCTACTTGGGAGGATGAGGCAGGAGAATTGCTTGAACCTGGGAGGCAGAGGTTGCAGTGAGCCAAGATCACACCACTGCACTCCAGCCTGGGCAACGAGCAAAACTCTTGTCTCGAAAAATAAAATAAGTGACTGGGGAAGGGTGTGTATGAGAGTTCAAGAAAGCAGGTAAGTTGCAGAATTTATTGCAAAATGATGTAGAGTTTCTCATCAGCTGGCAAGCCGTACTGAGACTGGGTCCTGGAGACGAGCCCACAAGGGTGTGTGCTGGACGGGCACCATGGCATAAAGATGCGGGAGATAGCGCCTGTGATTGGCAAGCATCCCAAGTGGGTGAAGACAAAATATCCAAGGAGGGATCATGTTTGAAATTTTCCCAGCGTAGACGCCATGCAACTTCTGTCTCACTATTTTGGGAGTATAAGATTAATGGTAAGAAATTTTTGCCTCCTAGAAGGTTCTCTATTAAACTAGGAGAAACAGTGGCAGTGTAGCAGCAATGCGTAGCTGCACTGACTTCACTCGAGTGTGCAGACCAGCCACACACACAAGAACATGTCCCTATGCCCAGGGCCACCAGGGGAGACGGCATTAGGTAACACCAAGAATCATGTCGCCATCATGTTTCCTTGCTTTTCTTTTTCCCTACCTTCTTTCCTTCCACCTTTCTTTGTACCTCATCCCCTCATCCTTGAACTGTCTCACATGCTTTCCTTCCCTTCTTTCTTCATAAAATAATATTGCTTTGAAAGATATCTTCTCATTATGTCGTCTCTTTCAGATTTTTAAACAACGTCCTCTTGTGTTTAGACGTTTGTAAGTACTTATACATAAGGAGAAACTACATGTTCAAGCACAGCTATCAACTGTATTCTCCTTAACCATCAAATAAGACTGGGCAGGGTGTGATGGCTCACCCAGTAATCCCAACACTTTGGGAGGCTGAAGTGGGAGGACCCCCTGAACCCAGGAGTTTGAGACCAGTGGGCAACACAGCAAGACCCCATCTCTACAAAAGATTTTATTTTTAATTACCATAGTAGAGTGCGCCTGAGTCCTAGTTACTTGGGAGGCTGAGGAGGATCATTTGAGCCCAGGGGGTCAAGGCTGTGTTGAGCCATGATCATGCCACTGTACTCCTGAGTGACATAGACACTTGTCTCTTAAAAATTAAAAACTAATCATACGATTACAAATGGTCTTCATTAGTATGAATAGGGACCATTTAAATATTTGGCAATCTTATTGATTGAAAAAGTACTGGCCAGGCAGGGTGGCTCATGCCTGTAGTCCCAATGCTGAGAGGCTGAGGTGGGAGATCATTTGAGGCTAGGAGTTCAAGACCAGCCTGAGCAACATAGCAAGACCTCATCTCTAAAAAAAAAAAATTAAAAAATTAGCTGGGCATGGTGACACATGCCTATGGTCCCAGCTACACGGGAGCCTGAGGTAGGAGGTCACTTGAGCCCAGGAGGTCAAGGCTGCAGTGAGCCATGATCACACCACTGTACTCCAGCCTGGGCAACAGAGGAAGACCCTATCTCAAAAAAAAAAAAAAAAAGAAAAAAAAAGGAAAAAGTACCTAGAATTCTGGGATAGATAAGTTCAGTCGAGCATCCCTAATCTAAAAATCCAAAATCTGAAATGCTCTAAAATCTAAAACTTTTCAGCACCGACAGGATGCCACAAGTGGAAAATTCCACACCTGACCTTGTGTGACAGGTGGCAATCAAAATTCAAAATGCAGTCTAAACTGTTTCATGCACAAAATTATTTAAAAATTTCATAAAATTACCTTCAGGCTATGTGTGTAAGGTGCATATGAAATCAATGAATTTCGTGTTTAGACTTGGGTCCCATCCCCAAGATACCTCATTGTATATATGCAAATCTTCCAAAGTCTGAAATATTTCTGGTCCCAAGCATTTCAGAAAAGGTGTAGTCAACCTGCATTAGCTTTATGCAAAAGAAAAATAAAAAGTCGAAATGAAATAAAAATGACCAGACTGTAAGATGTAGAGGAGATCTGTATCCTGTACGTGTCCGATTCGTTGTATGGCTGAAGTGTAACAGTTTTTGTGGTTTCAGCTTTTCAGGGGCTAAAGACACATCATGGACAAAACAGAGTGCATCAACTTCTGGTGGCTATTCCTAACCTCAGGTCACAGGTCTGAATACAGCGCAGAGCAGCCCGCCTCCACCATAGGCGGCTCATGGCTTTATTTTCCTGGTTTTTTTTTGTTTGTTTTTTTTTTTTTTTGAGATGGAGTCTCGCCTTGTCACCCAGGCTGGAGTACAGTGGTGCGATCTCAGCTCATTGCAACCTCCGCCTCCCAGGTTCAAGTGATTCTCCTGCCTCAGCCTCTCAAGTAGCTGGGACTACAGGCATGCACCACCATGCCCAGCTGCTAATTTTTGTATTTTTAGTAAAAACGGGCTTTCACCATGTTGGCCAAGCTGGTCTCGAACTCCTGACCTCAAGTGATCCACCCACCTCGGCCTCCCAAAGTGCTGGGATTACAGGTCTGAGCCACCCCACCCAGCCTGTTCTCATTATTTCTCTTCGTAGTGAGGTAAGATTTGTTCCTAAATGAGGTAGGTCAGGAGAAATAAAAAGAAAAAACATTTTTGTTATTCTCTGAAATAATGTGCTGAATAAACCAAAGGTGACATTTTATGGGTAGGTCTGAAAACTAAAGGATTGTCTGTTGTCATAAAACCAACTTGTGGCATCTCATTGTTGAGAAGGCATAACCTGTGAGCTTCCAGTGGGTCCTGTGAAGTGGCGATCTGAGAGGGTGCCCATCCCCAGAGCATGCCCACTGGCAGGCCCTTTCTACCCAAACCCAAACCCAACTTCAAATGACAATTGTTCCAGACAGCCCACAGCCCAGGGCACACGCTTTCTTCTTGTAGACCAGCCTACCTCCCTCTACGGCTTAGCTCTCACAGTGGAGCTAGCAGGGGACAGACAATTTTCAGTCAAGTTTCATTTTCAATAGAGAAAATCCTATTTTCCCATTAAATGGAGTTGAAAACGTGGTGAGGAGGGGATTAAGGCAGTGGCCACCCCTGCGGTCTGCTGGCCTTGGGCCACATCTTTTAGGAGTGCCTGTGACATTAATTTATACATTGAAAATACTTGAGTCTGTGAAATGAATTAGTACACAAGTTGTTGTTTTCTAAAACTGGAAATTCATTGTTAGAAGTTAACTTAGAACAAAAGAAGCCTTTAAAAATGTACTGTGGTGTATCAGACCCACTGTCCGTGACATCTCTGATGATCTTGCTTAGAAAACAGAGGAAATAACCTTCACTTGGTCATTTAATTAGCTGAGGCCACCATGTTCAGAATCTCGTATCCTTGACCTCCTGAGCATTAATCTGGAAACTCCACACAGTGTACAATGTATCCATTTTAGGTTTGTTTACCTTCTCTTTAATGACTTAACAGAAAAAAACTGCATGATGAAATATATTTTCTCCAAATATATATATATTTATATAATATATAATCTTAGTTAACTCAAAGGTATATACATTGTATAATAAATAATATTTATAAAAAGAGACTTTTTGAATATAAAATCAAAAAGATCAACAACTTCTACAACTTTTTACAAAACTTTGGATACAGCAGGTTGGTAGGAAATTTCGGTTGGATACTATTACCTGACTACGGCGAGAATCATTACAATGCACTCATGTACTATTATTAAATAATTACTTGTCAGCTACTTGAATACGCCCCAGAAACATGACTTTATCACTTTTAATATAGAATACATAGATATGAAAAGATTGTTTTGAAAATTCGTATCCATTCTGCTGAAGTATTCTCACATAAAGCAAGTATTATCCAGTTGACATGATTTAAAACTTTTCAGTCTAAGGTGAGATGGGGAGGGGCATTTCAGACTTGGCGGAGGGGGTGAGATGTGTATCTTTAGCAGGGCTTGTGGCCAGCAGATTTAGAAGTGAAGGCGGGCTCCTGGACGACCATCTTGGCAAGCCCACCTGCACCAGCTGGGAGATCGCTGCCCTGGTATTTTAGGTCAGGGTTAGGTAGACCCCAGAGAGAAGGGGGAGAAAGAAAAATCTTTGTTCTGCTCATTCCCCTGCTGCATCTCTTCTTTCTGATTCTCCCTAAGACAGTTGTTGAACCAATTCATACTGTGAAATCCATGTGCCTCCCTTTTGCTAGCTTTCTCTAGGACGCTCAGCTGGACCAGTATGCCTCAGGGAGAACTCAGCCGTGAGATGCTTCACCTAAGGGAGTAGGTGACTGCTGGTTCCCCTTTGAACTTCTAATCCAGATCCTTGGGAACTGCATGGATGGAAGCTATCTCAGCATGCAGGTGAGGGAGGAAGAGCTGGGGGAAAGAACTCTGTGTCTGTGTTTACTCACATTGGCCCCAGAGAGGAAAGGACACAGTAAGATGGGTCCGTATTGGAGAGGAAGCAAAGGGATGGTTTTCATCCTCCCCATCTGCTAGTCACAAAGTTGGAATTTCAGGAATTGATGGCTACTCCCTCACGGACCCTTTGTCTAACTTATACTAAGGTGACCTGGAGTCCAACTGCTCTACCTGGAGTTATTTGTACAGAGAATCTGCAGGTGAGCAGGGCTGGGAAGGACTGAATGGCCCCTTCTGAAGATACCGCTTATTTATTTAGGAAGCCATTTGAGCTAGAGAAGACTTGCCCCCTTACATAGCCTATTTACAAGGTCCACTACCACCAAAAAAAAAAAAAAAACAAAAAAACAAAAAAAAAACTGCATTGACGGTGGAAACTGCAGAATGGTAGAAAAAGATTTTGAGATCTGACTGCCCCTCGTGCAGAACAGGGTTATAGAGAAAATGAGACTGAGAAGAACACATGGCTGCTCTTCAAACGGCTGACCAGGCCACCCTGAGCTGCCAGTTCTTCCAAACTCCAAATCCTACTCTAACAACTGCCACGGACCTTCCTACCACTTCATCCTAGCTAAACCTATGGCTTTTATCAGAATGAGAAATTAGCTCAAATTTGAATGGGAGTGGACCAAGAAAAGGAGACTGCAGGGGTGTGTCCTACTTCCTGACTCCCACCCTCCAGGCGTCTTGGAATGTCACCAGAAGCAGCAGTTTGGAAACAGAACCTTGCCCATGCTGATGTCTTGACTGCCAGGCTGAGAGCTCACATTAGCCCAGCCTGTTCTGTTGGAGTCAAATTTTTTTTCATTTTTATTTTCTTTAACATGTGCAAAGATAAGCCTCAGGTCTGTTCCTATCAGACCCTAGAGAACTAAAAAGAAAGCCCCCTTCTTTAAAAACCACACACCATCCAGAGTAGGGTGAGAAATGTAAGATGAGAGAGAGGGAGAGCCTCCCCGTCCACAGGCGAGTTGGGTCTGGGTCATTTACCACGCGTGCGGCTGGTGACAGTTCCTTGCTGTCTGACGCTGAGGGCTGTGCCCGGCTCTAGGTCCTGCTTCCCATGAGACTTCGCTGAATCCGCCCAGCCACACACTTCACCCCTTCCCAGCGCCCTTGGGGAAAATCAAGAGGAAGAATTAGAAACATAATTCCATTCCCAGAGACCACCCATTGGGGTTCAAAGATCAGAGGCTGCTGATGGATCTGAACGTGTCCCTGGTGCTCAGAGGTGATGAGGACTTGGGTGGTTTCTCCACGCTCTCCTCTGTGCTTTGGGCCTGCTGTTGAGGGAGGTCGTATGAGTCACAGGAGCAGTAAGGCTTTCGAGTCCACAGAATGGGATCGAAATTCTACCTCCCCCACCTCTAGCTGAGGGCCTTGGGCAACAGGAAGCCCAGGAGCAGGTCACTCAGGATGGGAGAAACGGTGCCTGGCCGAGGGCCCAGTCCCCAACTCCAAGTCAACTGCTGTGCTGGGCTCACGCCAGGCATGCACTGTGTTTTTGTACCGCACCAAATAGCTTGATAATGAGCTGTCCAAATGGGAGAGAGCCTACTTAATTACGAACAATTCCTTCCCATTGGAGCAGCAGTGTGTTCATTTTACTCATTTGCATAGTCATATCTCACAAAGGGTTTGAGGCATTCCCAGTCAACCCCCAGCTCTTCTAGGGGGCTGACAAGGCCAAGATAAGACTACTTTACAGAGGCAGAAACAGGCTCAGCCAGATTGAAGGGACACATCCAAGGTCTCTCAGCAAGGCAGTAACAGATCCAGGACTTGGGCGCAGCCAGGCCACTCGACTCTTGCCAGAACCTTTCCAGCTCCAGCTCACCATGTTCACAACAGCAGAGTGACGAGGAATAAATCTGGCACTTGTAAGGCACCAAATCAATGGTTAGCCAGAGACACTGGGTAAAAGCTACAAAAAGCTACAGAAAAGGTGTTTTCCCCACAAAGGAAGGACACAAGCCATTTGACAGGCGCTCTCTCCTCACCGTGTGGAGGGCCCGGGGCCTGCTCTGCGACTCCCTTCTCTCTCCTGCCTGCACTGCCAAGACTGTCAGGGAAGACAAGAGAACAGCTAACGACTCTGTCCCCTGCCATCCCTGCCAGTGCATCCCGCAGGCTCCCGTCTTGCCTAGCGGAGTCTCGGCCGAGCCTGGGCCCATTGCTCCAGAGCAGGCGGCTCTCGCCTGGGGAGGTGGCTCTGGGAGGTCAGCTCTGCTTGGCCCAGGAGCCTCTGTGGCTGCCCTGTGAGTAGCTGGGTCCTGGGCCAGGCCCTTCATGTGCAGGGTCTCCAGTCCACAGGACAACCCTACACAGAACACAGTTCTCATCCCCAGTTCACAAATGAAGAAGCCAGGGCTCAGCGAGGCAGAAGAGCTGGCCTGGGAGTGTTTATCAGAAGGGCACCATGTTGGGAGAGTGTCCTCCACTGGTCACAGAGTGAGGCCTCCAGAGCTTCCACAGAGAAGGGGTTCCGGGTAGGAACCACTTGGACACAGCATCTTGAAACCATATCTATGTAGCACTTTACATAAGATTGAGGAAAAAAAACACTCATTGTCCATTTCAGAAATGGGGAGAAAGAGGGCTGATGAAGAGTACTGATTCTGGCCGGGCGCGGTGGCTCACGCCTGTAATCCCAGCACTTTGAGGGGCCAAGACGGGTGGATCACTTGAGGTCAGGAGTTCAAGACCAGCCTGGCCAGCATGGCGAAACCCGTCTCTACTAAAAATAAAAAAATTAGCCGATCGTGGTGGCGGGCACCTATAATCCCAGCTACTCGGGAGGCTGAGGCAGGAGAATCGCTTGAACCCAGGTGGCGGAGGTTACAGTGAGCCGAGATTGCGCACTTCACTCCAGCCTGGGCGACAAAGAGAGACTCAGTCTCAAAAAAAAAAAAAAAGTTCTGCTGGGCTCCCATTGTCACCACCACTGAACAGAGGAGGAAACTGGCGCTCCCAGGCCAGACAGCTGAGTGGACGAGTGGAGGCGCTGGATTCACCTTCGTCCTCTCCCACTCCCCACACTGCTTTTGTTCAGATACCGACAAAGGTAGTGCCACCTGCTGCCTTTCTGGACTGTCCCCACCAGGACAGAACTTGAGCTACACCGAGGGGCTTCCTAGATGGGCTGAGTGAGTCGCCCCTCAGCCAGAGCTCTTCTCCATGACGTCAAGTACCTCCCATATCTCAGAGAGGCCCGTCCACTTCCCTCCCCTACTCCCTATGGCACAGACATGTGCCAGTAGCTCAGAGGTGCCCTGTGGAACTGCAGGAAGAGGGGGCACTCTACCCTTTCACAGGCTGCTCTCGCCCAGCAGCACCCCAGACAACAATGACCCAGCAGGGAAGTGCTTCCCAATTAACCAAGCCCTGTCCTCGGTGTCCTTTCATTTGTCCCTCACAGCATCTCTGGGGAGGATGACAGATGAGGAACCAGGTCTATGAAGAATTTCTTGCTTGGGTCACACGGTTGGCAAGTGGTAGGAGCTGGAGCAGGGCAGGGCCTAATTCCAACACCCATGCTCATGCCTCGACACACTAGGCTCCTTCTCAGGGGACAGAAAAGGAAGAAAGGGCACCCCAGCCTTAAAACCTTCCACCCCGGGGGTCCAGGACCACTCCTCATCCATGCTGACCTATCCCGGGGTGCTGTGGAACCCAGGGCCAGTGCATAGCGCCTCCCATGCAGGCCACCTCTGGGAAGCTTGGGAACAAAATCCACCCGCCTTTGATCCCTCGATTACTCATCCCAGCCACTCTGAACTTGAATCCCTCCTGCTCCCCGTCATCATCCATAAACTCGGTGAGAGTGCTCCCCACTCCACCCAAGCTTCAGATCTGTCAGGATATGGGCTTATATGCCGCTTCCCCCCACCCACCTCCCTGAGGTTGGTACGATTTATGCTTGTGCAGGAACTTGCCCTCTAAGTTCAAGGTGGATGCACACTGACTCTGCCTCAGGGGTAGAGGAGACATTTTGGCTCGCTGCTTGAGGTATTTAAACTGCCCCCTGCCCTTCACCACCATCACCACTTTATAGTAAGAAAGCTGAGGCCCAGAAAAGTGAAAGAACAGGAAGTTACTGACAAAGTTAGGACCAGACGTCAGGTCTCCCAGCTTCCAGCCCCCCATCTCCAAATAATGCTCAAGAATGACAGCTAGCAGCTATGCAAAAATTTGATCTGGCTCATAACTAACTTGTGTAAAAATGTTAATCAATTGCTGGCACCTAATGTGCACACACTGAATTTTGTTTTTTTTTGTTTGTTTGTTTGTTTGTTTGAGATGGAGTCTCACTCTGTCGCCCAGGCTGGATGGAGTCCAGTGGTGCAATCTCAGTTCATTGCAACCTCTGTCGCCCAGGTTCAAGCAATCCTCCTGCCTCAGCCTCCCAAGCAGCTGGGATTACAGGCACCTGCCACAACGCCCGGCTAATTTTTGTAGTTTTAGTAGAGACGGGTTTCACCATGTTGGCCAGGCCGGTCTCGAACTCCTGACCTCAGGTGATCCGTCCACCTCGGCCTCCCAAAGTGCTGGGATTACAGGCGTGAGCCACCGCGCCCGGCCAACACTGGGTTTTTATCTGTGCTTTGTGCAATCCACCAAGTCTCTGCCCAAGGACCATTCCCACGGATGCTTGAAAAATCCTAGCTTCCTATTTTGGCTGTGGGAACTTGTGTGTCTTGGATAGCTTAGAAACAGAAGGGGGTCGTCAAGAAGACGAGATGGGCAAACAACCCCATTCCCTGCGCCCAGGCTCCCAGCCTCCCCCCTGCTTCCCGGAGCCCTACCTGGTGCCCTACTTGCAGGTGTGCACGTCGTAGATGCGAATACACTCCTGGCAGCTGACGTAGCAGCACCAGTGGAAGATGCAGTGGCATTTTTCCTTCCGCTTCTCCGTCCTCGTGTTGTGGCCCCGGCCACAGCAGAGCAGATCGCAGCCATCGATGCCGTGGGAGGTGACATTGCAAGTCCGGTCCCTTGTGCCAAAGGAACCCGTCTCTGGGTTGGGCTCACAAAAGTTGGGGGAGTTCTCGTAGTAGACCAGGTCCCTCTCCGTGGGTGGCTTGAAGAGCGAGTACTTGGCCCGGAGGGTCTCCACCCAGCCTCGGGACTCACGGTGCTTCTCTACTACCATCTCCGAGGCGCTGTCATACTTGTCCTTGAGGAAGTCACCGATGGCACGGAAGTCAGGCTGCGCCCACCAGCAGGTCTTCACCTCACAGCTGCCCGACAGCCCGTGGCACTTGCATTTGAGGTGCATGTGGTCCAGGATAGTCTGGGGGAGAGAAGTGGCAGCTGGCCAACAGACCGACCCCACGAGGGGGCACATCCAGGCCTTCCCTCTCTGCCACTGCCCACCCCCTTCCCTCCAGCCTTCTCTACTCCTCTGTGACAGGAAGAGAACTGATGGGGACTGAGGCAAGACCTAAAGAATAGTGACCATGTTTCCCTCCCCCTTCACACCCCAAGCATGGGTAGACAGCACGTCCACTTCTCACAGCGCATGAAATACGAGTTGTTGCCCAGGCGCGGTGGTAATCCCAGCACCTTGGGAGGCTGAGGCGGGAGGATCACCTGAAGTCAGGAGTTTGAGACCAGCCTGGCCAACATGGCGAAACCCCGTCTCTACTAAAAATACAAAAATTAGCTGGTGTGGTGGCGGACGCCTGTAATCCCAGCTACTTGGGAGGTTGAGGCCGGAGAATTGCTTGAACTCGGGAGGCGGAGGTTGCAGGGACCCAAGATCCAGCCACTGCACTCCAGCCTGGGCGACTGAGCGAGACTCCGTCTCAAAAAAAAAAAAAAAAAGAAAAGAAAAAGAAAAAAGAAATAGGAGTTATCTCCATTTAACACATGGGGAAACTGAGGCTGGGAACTTAACGTGACTCACCCTAGATCATACAAGCATAGTAAGGGAGTGGAGGCTGAATTCAAAGCCAGGTTCCCAGGACTTGACAGCCCTACACCGCGTGCCAAGGTGCACAGGATGGGTGGTGGGTGGCACCTGATCCCACGGGGTGGCCATGCTCCCAGGCCGACTCATCCCGGGTGGGGTGGAGTCCAGGAACTGCCCAAGGAGGAAGGAGGGTGGACAGACGAAGTGGCTGTGGGGTGGGGAGGAGGCCAAGCCTGGCCAAGGGGAAAAGGAGCCCGCGACCCACAGGGCTGCCGGAAGGGGTGAGGTGGGGGCCAGGGCAGCTCCGGAGGGGAAGCGGGGGGCTGCTCCCTGAAGGGTTTGGGGAGGGTAGCCGGGCTCACCGTGCGGCCCGCCTCGTTGTTGTGCTTGTTCATGGCCGAGCGCGCGTCCGGCCTGTTCTCGCGCGCATCCGCGAACTCCCTGGACACTAACACGCCGAAGTCAGCGTCCTCGCTGCAGCCGCCCCACTTCCAGCCTTCGCCAGGCGGCCCCTTATGATGCGAGTCACAGCCGCAAATGGTGGAGGTGCCCTCGGCGCAGGAGCGGGTGACGGCGAAGGCCACGCCGGCCGAGGCGATGGCGTGAACGAAGGCCGACTCGCGGGTGGCTGCGGGGAGGTCGTGGGGAGGCAGCACTCAGGACCCGGCCTGGGAGCGCCTGCCCTGCCTCCACCTCCCAGGCCAGGACGTGAGGGGAACGAGGCCAGGAAGAGTTGAAGAGCTCACCAGCCCTGAGGCAAGAGGGAGGCAGCTTCCCCACCCTCTTTGGCTGGTTTAGACCCAGTTGGGTATTCCCACTTCACCGATGAGCAAACTGAGGCCCTGGGCTGCTGATTAGCTCAGGACCTCAAATGCCACAGGGCAAAGCAGTGCCTGTTAGAAACAGGCGCCGACACCAAACCTCTGGCAGGTTGCTGCAGAGATAAGGCAGCCACTTCTGTCCTGGTCCCACACCCCCTGCCCTCCACCTTCCCAAAGTCCAGAGACCACCCTGCACAGGCCTGAGCCCTCCCACGCCTGAGTGAGAGCCAGGTCTGTAAGGAGGGAGGCCTGGGAATCTACAGCCTAAACCTGCCCAGGCCCACCCCTTCCGCACGTGGATGCATAGGGACGGCCCCTCTCCTTTTCTCGGTCTCAGTCGCCCTTTTTGTAAAATGGACACGGCTTCCCTCCGCTCCTAGAGCCCCTCACCAGGAGGGCAGTGGCCCGTGCCTCAGTCTCCCCATCCCCATTCTCCTGCCCTCACGCCCAGGCACGGCCAACTCCCTCCCAGAAGGGTAGGGACACCGGGCAGTTCCCCTGGTTCTGTCCCAGGGTCCAGCGCAGGGAAAGGAGAGACTCTCAAGGGTGTGCTCCAGCCTCCTCACAACGGTCATCGTCTCTGCATGTGCTTCATTCACATGGAAAGTTTTACTCATTTTATAGATGTGGACATTGACGATTAGGGAGGCCAAGGCCTGCAAGACCTGCAGCCCAACCATCTCTCTCCTCATGGCAGGACCCGGGAGCCGGAGGTGACTCGCCACCTGACACAGGCTGTGAAACGCCGGGCCGGCCTAGTCGGCAAAATTGGTCATAAATGTGACCAAATTTATTTAGAAGCCAGGCGCCCGCCTCCCCTCCTGGGCTGTGGGCCGAGTGCTGCAAGAAGGAAGCCCGGGACCCCTCTTGGCTCCCGCGGCCGCTCTCCGCGGCCCCCACGCCCTCCTGCGCCACCTACAGAGGGGCCCGTCCCACTTCCAACGACGGGAGGGCGAAGAGTGCAGAGCTGGTCCCGCCCGCGCCCCGCGCCTGCGCTGCCAGGGCCGACCGAGGACGGCGGCAAGGGGGCCCGACGTCCCGCGTCCAGTTGTGCTCCCGGCCTCGGGGTCCCAGCCGCGCCGCTCACTCGCCCCAATCCTAGACGCCCCAGCCCTGGGGGCGCCTCGGGGAAGAGGGGCCGAGGGCGGGTTCACAGGGCGGGCGCCCCTCGTTTCCGGCCGGCCTGCGGCCTCTCGCGGCGGCAGCGGCGCCCGGGCCCCGGGCCGCGCTGGGTTCCCAGCCCCGGGAACGCGGGGGCGGCGGGGGCGGGGCGGGGATTAGCCTGGGAGCGGCGCTGACAGCCCCGCTGTGCCTTCCCCGTCCGGCGGGGCCCGCTGGGCCGCTCAATCCGCCTTTGTTCGCGCGGTGTCACACCGCATTACCCGCATAATGCGGCCGCCGGGCCCGGGCCGCCGGGCCGGCCGCCACCGCGTAGCAACGGGCGGCTCCCGCGGCCGGGCCGCGCCCCCGGCCCCGGCGCCGGGCCGCGAAATCCCCATTGAAGCGGCGCCCCCCGCCCCCGCGCCGCGCCGCGCCGCGCCGAATGGCCAGAGGGCGTGTGAATGGCGCGGCGGCCGCGCGGTGGGGGGGCGGTGCTCGGGCGCTTTTCAGGCCGCCCAGGCCCCTCCGGCGCCCGCCCCCGCCCCTGCCCCCGCCCCCGCCTGGGGAAGCGCCTCGGGCCCGCCGCGCCGCCGCCGCGCCTCGCCCCTTCCGGCCGCCGACCCCGCCGCCCCCAGACTCGCGGAAGACGCGCGCCCCGGGCTGCCCGACCCGCTGCGCCCCGGGTCTCAAAGCGCGGGGCAGAGATTAACCCTTGGCCGCCCACGCGGCGGTGGTGTGGGGACTCGCCGGGGGCGGGGTGCAAACGTGGGGCCGGAGCTGGGCGCGAACCTGGGTTCAAGGTCCGGGCTCTGGGCACCGACCGGGGCGCGTATGCGCTCGCGGCGTCTTCCGGGATGCTCTCCTCGCCGCCGCCAGCAAATTCCCAAACTCTCGGGCACACATCGCCCCTCCCCCCGCAACCCAAACCTGTCCTCGGGCCATCTAGGGACCGGGGCGTGTGCCAGAACCTACGGTGGTGACTTAAAACGTTCAACGCGGAGTGAATGGGTAGCGCTCCCAGAGCCGCTTTCCCCTGGCTCTTGGCCGGAGACGGGAAGAGCGATCAGAGGTGACTCGCTTTTGGGGAGCGCGTCTAGACGCAGGGTTGTTTGATTCAGCGCTACCTGGCCCGAGGAGGGGCACCGGAAAGCGCTGAGACCAACACACCGACAAGAACGAGTTTGAAATGCAAACCGCCGCCACTTGGCCCCAATTAAGAGGCCAAATCTTTTATGTCAACAAGGAATAATTAGTTTTGGCAATAGAAGCGTAAACAGAATCATCATCCATTGATTTGCTAATTACCCTCCTGTCCCATGACAATAGCCAGCACTTTGCCTGTAGGTGGGACAGACCCTGAGCACCTGAGGCACCGGTAAAGGGGAACTGCACTCTAAAATGGGGGTTGTCAGCTTCCCCCCCAACCCCACCCAGCACCCCACCCCTTCACCTGAACGTCAGATCCCTTTTCTTTCTGGCTGTATAGGCAGCTCTCATTCATTCCCTAGCTTCTAATAGGAGGGAGGGCCAGGCTCAGCGGTTTGGGTGGCAGAGCAACTCTGGCTGTGGCCAGCCCGGCCAGGATCGTTAAATTCCTGGACACTGCCGTTCCACAAAGAGCTGCCCATCTTCCACCCAGTCCATGAGCCCCCAAGTCCCCTTCTTGGGAGGAGTTGTCCCACTTAGCCTCCCTCCCAGGGCCTGCAGGTTCAAAGTCAAATCATGTGGTTCCCTGTCCACTTGAGGCACAGCCAGTTAGACTCCCAGGCTGCAAGACGGCCGGAAAGTTACCCAGAGGCCAGTGCACCCTCTAGCCCCACCATGATTCCTGGGCATATCCAGCTGACAGGGCATGAGGATGAACAGAAACCCAGAGGGGCTCTTGGGGGCAACGCAATGCTACCACAGCACCAGGCAGCTTCCTCACCTACTGAGGACTTTCTAGATGGGAGGGACCTAGGGGTGGCAATGCTCTCACCCCCACCCCAAAGCGGTATTTGCATAGCACTTAACACAGCATTGGGGAAATGTCACAAATGTCCACAGCAGGAGCCTGAGGCGCCCACTGTGCAAAAGCCAGGAAGGAAGTCTGTGGCCTTCTTGGTGTCGGCCCTCAAACCTCAGGATCCTGGAGCATCTCAAGGCGGCCCAGCCCCCAGCAGCGCCTGGGAAGGTGTGGCAGTCATGCAACCAAATTTATCACCCTCCCAGAGGGACCCTGGCTTCAGAGAAGAGGCACCCTGACTGGGGTGGAAGGGCATACAGTCCTGATCCCTCCCCCCACCCAGCCCCTCCCCCCCCCTCAGCCCCAAGGCAGTACCTTTGTCGAGGACGGGCCCAAAGATGGCCAGGCTGTCATCTATGGTGGTGCAGTTCCAGCGGCGGCCCCGGAACTGGTGCTGGCACTCCTGGATGCCCAGCTTCACGCCCTCGGCCACGCTGGGCATGATCTCGATGTAATTGCGGCAGAAGCGCAGTTGCTTGGGGACCAGGCCTGGGATGGAGCCGCAGAGCAGGGGCTGTGAGCCCAGAGATGTGTACTGCTGGCCCAGGGCCAGGGACCTGCAGGCAGACAGAGGGTAGTAACACTGTGGGCACAAAGCACAGAGCCCATCCTGGGCACCATGGCCGCTTTGTGAACCCTCCGGGGTAGGTGGAGAGGCAGAGGGCCTGTGCCCTGGCACCTGAATGTGCTACCTTTGACCTCGGGAGCATGCCGCCCCTCAAAGCGCAGAGCTCTGACCCACGCAAGTCAGCCCTCTGGCTGCATCCAGCTTGCAGGGGGATGGGACCGCAGAAGCCGCTTGTGGGGGCCCTTGGGGGCAATGCAAAGCCATGAAAAGAGGTTTGGACTAGAAAGATGGTATTTGGGGCCCAGATCCAGTCCTTTCCAGGTTCTGGGTCCAGCTTCCCTGATGGGCATTGAAGAGATCAGGCTGGGCAATTTCCAAGGCAGTCCAGGATACTGGGGCCACATGGACACTTCCAGTGACTCATGGGACACGCGCGCGCGCGCACACACACACACTACCCTTGGCAATGCCCTCAGCCTCTTCCCTGCGATGGTGCCAGCCCAGCCCAGAGCCTCCCAGTATCTCCCCAAGGAATTGCTGGCTTGCACCAAGTCCTTTGTCTACCAGGGCCTCCATGACCATCTTTCCAGTTTCCTAGAAGTTTCTAGAGCTCCACCTCTTTTCTCATGAGAGACTGGAGCTTGGCTTTGTGTCAAAACAAGTTTAGCACAGAGTCAGAAGGGAGATCTCAGATCTCACTGCCCACACCCAACACCAGGTGACTGGTCAATTCACTCCATTCCTCTGCCCCTCGCTTTGTAATCAATATCCCATCAACTCTCTCAGGTTTTATAGTCAACAACAGAAAGAATGACCTTATGGGGGTGGGGCAGAAGAGTTTAAAATACTAGAAAACCAAGGTAGGAATTACGACTTTTCCGTTCCCTGCCCTCAGCACAGGAACAGCAGAAATGACATTTTCTGGGAGAACCTGAGAAAATGATCCGTGAGTGTCAGTGGCCTTCAAGGACAATTGCAATCTGCTCTATGACCAGGGGCAGTGTGAGCTGGAAGAAGGGGCCCATCTCCTCTCCCTCTGTGTCCAGCACTGACCAAGGCTTTGGTCCAGCATTGGCCTAAGTCAAGTTTCCCACAAAAAGTGATGGGCAAAAGCCTCGGAAAGAGGGGCCGGGAGAAGACCCCATGGGGCAGGGTGAGGTTTTTTGTGTGCTTTTTAGTACACAAAAGCTTCTGGGCTGGACACAGGGCCGAGCCAAACATCTGCCATTTGGCAACTGTTACTGCTTGCCAGGCACTTTATATACAACATTTCTGATCAATTCCCAAACATGAAGAACATCACTATCTCCTGGACTAGGAAACTGAGGTTTAGAGAGTGAATTAGCTTGCCTACGGCTTTTTGGTCTGTGGTGGGTCAGAGAGTGCCATGTGCCTTCCCCCGGGTCCCTCCTCCATACTTGAGCTTGATGTTGGCCTTGGCCAATTCGTGGAGACTCCAAGGCACAGAGCTCCCTGGGCACCGTGCAGGGGCATGCTACCCATCCACCTTGGTTGTCTCCAGGCTCAGTTGTCAGGGGGAGAGGCAGGTTCTCCTTTTTCCATTTGTTTATTTTGGGTGGAGGAACTGAGGAGCCAGATCTGGGAGTTTGGATGGTAACATCTGTGAGGCATTCCAGGTCTTAAGCACTGAGCTTTTTCTAAAGAGAAAGAAGCAGCAGCCAGAAGTTCTTTTTTTTTTTTTTTTTTTTTTGAGACAGAGTCTCGCTGTGTCACCCAGGCTGGAATGCAGTGACGTGATCTCGGCTCACTGCAAGCTCCGCCTCCTGGGTTCACACCATTCTCCTGCCTCAGCCTCCCGAGTAGCTGGGACTACAGGTGCCCACCACCACGCCCGGCTAATTTTTTGTATTTTTAGTAGAGACGGGGTTTCACCATGTTAGCCAGGATGGTCTCGATCTCCTGACCTCGTGATCCACACACCTCGGCCTCCCAAAGTGCTGGGATTACAGGCGCGAGCCACCACGCCCGGCCCAGAAGTTCTGATTTATCGGTGGTAATGGCTAATTACTGATTTCCCCGGTGCCTGGCCCTGAGCAGAGGCTTTTCCTTGGGTTTGCCTCATTTAATCCTCAAAATAGCCCCAGCACAAAGTAGGGTCATTATTAGCCCCATTTTACAGATGGCTTAGCCTTGCAGGTTGATGAAGCAGCCCAGACCACAGAGCTCCTATGGAATTGCTGGTTGGAACCCAGGGTGTCAGACTCCAGAGCCCATGGGGGTCATCACTATGTGACCCTGCCTGCTGGGCAGTGCCTGCCTGGGTCTTCATGGGGTGAAGGTGGCTTCAGGCCTGGCCCATCTGCACCCTGGGCCTCCATACTGAGCACATGCCTGAGTGGGTAGAGTCAGTGAGCCCAGAGCCCTGATGGGCACACGGCGCACACAGCACTGCCCCTGCCCTGTTAGAAGCAGGTTAGAGTGATCATATAATCCCTGTGGTTTATTATGGGCCTATCATGTGCTGGACACAGTTCTGAGTGCTTGTGTCTGTTACCTTATGTAATCCTCACGGCAGGTCTGTAATAAAAACTTCATTATCATCGCCATTGTCCCATTTCCAAGATGAGGAAACTGAGGCCAGGGAGCTAAGTACCCTGCCCTGTCTGCCAGGCTGCAGAGGTCCCCGTTGAGCCTCCCTCTGGGCTCAGGCTGCCCCTCCCGTGCTCTTAAGCAGCATCTCCAGCCCAGCCCTGCTGTGCCAGCTGCCCCCACAGCCCTGCAATCACTGGAGGGGAAACTGAGGGAGAGTTCAGTGCAGACAACTCGGCCTTGCACCATCCTAGATGGGCAGCTCAGGAACAAGACCCAGGGAAGAAGCCTGGGCTGTCCCCGCTCCTTCCTCTGGTGTTTGGGACCCAGAGCCCTATATGGGACCACTGGAGCGGAGAGCTGAGGCGGGAGTGAGAGGCACTCGGAGACCCTTCCTCTGCCCTCCTCCTTCCCCTCCCGTTGCCTTCCTGCCTCCTCCTTCCTCCCCCTCTCCCAGCCCTTGCTTGACACCTTCTGCAGGCCTGGGCACCCTCAAGCTAAACTGGAGGCTGAGCCCTGGTCCAGCAGCAGAACCCACAGGAGGAGCCCTAAGGGAGCACAAAGCCCATTATACAGATGAAAAACAGAGGCCGACCATGCCAGGTGGCTCACGCCTGTAATCCCAGCTACCCAGAAGGCTGAGGCAGGAGAATCGCTTGAACCTGGGAGGTGGAGGTTGTTGTGAGCCAAGATCATGCCGCTGCACTCCAGCTTGGGCGACAGAGCGAGACTTCGTCTCAAAAAAAAAAAAGAAAAAGAAAAAGCAGAGGCCGTGAAAGAGGACCAACTTGTGCGAGGTCACACAGCCATATCCACAGAGAAAGCCAGGCCGGCTGGCTTGGGGGACTGAGGAGTCGGGGGGCCCATGCTGGCAAGGCGGCTCCTCACCCAGCTCTCCAAGGGGCTCCCTGCTTCCTGGTTTCACCAGTTACCTCCCTCAGGGTCCCAGGTGGGTCTTCGCAGCCCAGCAGAGCACCTGAGCTCTGGCACACTGCCTGCATGGCTTGATTGGCCTCAAAGGTCGGAGTGCTTCCCAGACATCTCCAGGAAGAAGGTGCCACTGAGCCCTTCCTGCTGTGCAGACGCAGTCTCTCCTCTGCCCCACAGGGATTTCCTTCTGTCCCCACAGTTACCCGGATACTGGCAATACTAATGACAACTATTTATGTAGCACTTGCTCTGTGCCAGTCACTTCAAATACATAATCTCACTGAATCCTCACAACAACTCTGGGAGGTGGGCATTGTTATCCCCATTTTGCAGATGAGGAAACTGAGGCATGGAGTAGTTGGGCGACTTATGCAAGGAAGTGGCTGAGCCAGAATTCAAGCCCTGAGTTTGTCTGACTCCCAGTGTGATGTCCTCTGAGAACAATTCCTGAGCCTCAGTCATGATGAGCTGTTTTCCCTCTTTCCACCAAACCCTGTCTCCTTCCTGTTGCCCAGGTCCCACCAACTGTGGACCTGGGAGCCATGGTGCCAGGGTCCCATCCAGCTCTACCACTTCCTAGCTGCTGATCTCAGCAATTTTCTTAACCTCTATACCTCAGTTTCTTTATCGGTAAAATAGACACGACAGGAGGAATAAGTGACACAATCCAGTGCATGGCACGTGGGGAGCCCTTGCTAGATGGTGGTTGCTATGGTTACGGTGTGTGTGGAGCTGTCCCCAGCACTTTGTTCCCTGCCTTGTCACCAACCTCATTTCTCCCATCCTTGCATCCCTGACTTGGTAGAACACATCAGAAATCTCAGCCCCTTCCTATCCAACACTGGAAAGGATGCCTGGATCAGACCTCAGTCCTCACAGGGGTGGCAGAACAAAGACAGTTGTGATCTGGATGAGGGTTCAAGGTCACTCAAAGAGTGCAGGCAAAAGGACATTTTCAGGATGCTCCATTCAAAGGCTTCAGTTCAGATGGGGTCATCCTGCGAGTAATTAGCAAGGCCTCTGGCGATGGGGCTTAGCTCCTGGGCCAGTGTCGGAGACTAAAGAGGCTGTGGCCATGGGATTGATTTCTGCAGGATGGCTGCCCTTCCCCAAACATGCCCGGCCACCCCCACCCTGAGCCTCCTGCCCGCACACTGCTGAAATTCCACCATCGCAGACACATTACTTTAACTCGCCACTCCTATTCCCCATTATTGAAGTACACGTTCCACTTCGGGAGGCGGCACAGTGACTCTCATGCTCCTCGATTCTTTGTGCCAAAGTGTGCGTGGCTTTGACGGATTTGCCTAGCCAGCTGAATGACTCCAGCGGGGCTGTTTCACACTTCTGCACATTTGCACATGCTGAGCCCTCGGCTCGAAGCACCTCTCCACTGCCCGGCCCCCGGCAACCATTCTACACCATCCTTCGAAACCTGATTCCTAGGTCACCACCATTCTAAAGCCTTCTGTGAGCTCCAGACAGAAGTCACCTCTCCTCCGCCTGAATCTTTCCTGTACCTAATTCAAACCTTCTTATCCCAAAGTGCTGAACTGATTTGTTTCCAATTCCATCTGGCTATGCCAGTCTCAGTCTCCAAGAAGAGAGGTAGTGGTAGTGTTTTCTCCAGTTATTCCCCGGTCCCTACCCCATCACACACACACACACACACACACACACACACACACACACACACACACACACACACACACACACCCCAGCCCACTCGGCCTTCCAAAGGGCCGGGCACATGCTAGGTATTCATGATTCTGGAGGAAAGGAATGAAGAACTCTTCCAAAGGACGAGCCTGATGCCCCTCACTCGCCAGACCTCCCGGCATCCGGAGCTTCCGCCTACACACAGGACAAGACTCCTTGGTTCCGCTGAGGAAGTTCCTACGTTTAGGATCTGAGATGATGGCCAGGCTCCCAAGGGGGATAGAGACCTGCCTGGCACTGACAGCTGGTGAGGGGGAGGGCGGAGGACCCTGCCAGGCCTTCGCAGCTGGGCCAGGGGCTATTTATACCCAGCTCCTGGCCCGGCCCTTCCCTTCCCTAGGACCCTGCCACCCTCCTCCTGAAGCCGGCTCATCCTCCACTCCGACCACCCACTGCCCAGCTGGGCCGAGGACACACACGGGCAGCCAGGCGGATGGGCTGCGGGTGCCCTGCACAACAGGCTGCTTGTGGAAACTTTGGTGTTGACCCCTTGGAGTGAAATATCCCTCCACAAATAGGCAAGACCTAAACCTTGTGCATGGCCTTATCTAACTCCCATCCCCACCCCAGTTCTGTGCCTCTACCCTGATAACGCCTGCTGTGGCCAGAGGGCTGCAGGAGGCCTGCATGGTGAGCACAAGGCAGAGAGGACCTTTTTTTTTCTTTTTTTGAGACAGAATCTTGCTCTGTTGCCCGGGCTGGAGTACAAAGCGTGATCTTGGCTCACTGCAACCTCTGCCTCCCGAGTTCAAGTGATTCTCCTGCCTCGGCCTCTCAAGTAGCTGGGATAAGAGGCATGCGTCACCATGCCCAGCTAATTTTTGTATTTTCAGTAGAGACAGGGTTTCGCAATATTGGCCAGGCTGGTCTGGAACTCCTGACCAAGTGATCCACCTACCTCTGCCTCCCAAAGTGCTGGGATTACAGGCGTAAGCCACCATGCCTGGCCATAGAGAACATTTTTAGAGAACATTTTTAATCAGTGAATTCAGGTCAGCCTGGATGCTGCATTGACTTACGCACCTAACATATGGTGAGACACCTAAAGGCACCCTGTACAGTGCGTCCTGCCTGATCTGACACTGGGGTTGTTGGCCTCAGATGCTGCCGTCCACCCAGTGACGGCCAATCCCCTGCTGATGGGGGTCTGACTGTGCTGCCAGGGACACCCACTGTGCTGCCAGCACCCACTCCCCTGAGTGATCCATTAGGGTAGGCAGTCCTGCACCCAACCAGGTGGCCTCCCAAATGGAATCACACACAATCTCCCTCCTCTCCCCTACATACAGAACATATGAAAAGAGGGCCCTGTCCCTCAAAAAGTTAAACATAGAATCACCCTATAATCCAGCAATGCCACACCTGGTATACGCCCAAAAGAATTGAAAATGGGGACTCCGCCCAGGTGCGGTGGCTCACGCTTGTAATCCCAGCACTTTGGGAGGCCGAGGCGGGAGGATCACGAGGTCAGGAGATCGAGACCACGGTGAAACCCCGTCTCTACTAAAAATACAAAAAATTAGCCGGGCGTGGTGGCAGGCGCCTGTAGCCCCAGCTACTCAGAGAGGCTGAGGCAGGAGAATGGCATGAACCTGGGAGGCAGAGCTTGCAGTGAGCTGAGATGGCGCCACTGCGCTCCAGCCTGGGTGACAGAGCAAGACTCTGTTTCAAAAAAAAAGGAAAGAAAATGGGGACTCCAACAGACACCTGTACACCAGTGTTCACGGCAGTGCTACTCACAGCAGCCAAAAGGTAGAGACAACCCAAGAGTCCTCAGCAGATGAATGGATAAACAACAGGTGGCCCATACATACAGTGGGACCCTATTCAGCCAGAAAAAGGAAGGAAGCGGGTGTGGTGGCGGTAATGCCAGCATTTTGGGAGGCTGAGGCGGGTGGATCACCTCAGGTCAGGAGTTCGAGACCAGCCTGGCCAACATGGTGAAACCCCATCTCTACTAAAATACAAAAATTAGCCGGGCCTGGTGGTGCGTGCCTGTAGTCCCAGCTACTCAGGAGGCTGAGACAGGAGTATTGCTTGAACCTGAGAGGCAGAGGTTACAGTGAGCCAGTTGCGCCACTGCACTCCAGCTTGGGCGACAGAGCAAGACTCTGTCCCCCCAACCAAAAAAAAAAAAAGGAATGAAATTCTGATGCTTCTGATGCAAGCTACAACGTAGAGGAAACTTGAAAACAAGCTAAGCGACAGAAGCCAGACACGGAAGAACAAATACTGTATGATTTCACTTACATGAGGTTCTAGGTAAAGACACGCCAGCTTAGGCAACAGAGTAAGACTCTGTCTCAAAAAAAAAAAAAGGAATGAAATTCTGATGCAAGCTACAACATAGAAGAAACTTGAAAACAAGCTAAGCGACAGCAACCAGACACATAAGGACAAACACTGTATGATTCCACTTACATGAGGTGTCTAGGTAAATTCACAGGGACAGAAAGTAGAACAGAGGTTGCCAGGGGTTCTGGAAGGGAGGGAGTGGGAAGTTACTGCTTAATAAGTACAGAGTTTGGGATGATGAAAACAGACGGTGGTGATGGTCACACAGCATTGGAATGTACTTAATGCCACTGAATAGTACACTTTAAAATGGTTAAATAGCAAAATTAAAAAAATCAAAGGAGGGATGGTGCTTGCATCCCCAGCCTTCAACTTCGCATCTAGAGCCCCTGTGCAGGACGAAATTCCAGAGCCCCGGGTCTAGTCTAATTCCCTCTTCCTCTATACGGGAAGATTGAGGCCCAGAGAGGTTTGTCATTTTCCGGGGTCACACAGCTGGCTGCCCAGGAGGTGGGAGGAGAACCCAGGGCTCACAGTTCTTTTACCCACCAGGCTTTTAACCTGGGGGTGATGAATGCACATTCTCAGAAGCTTCTCTGGGGCTGGGCACAAAAAGGACCCACCTGGCTTCACATGGGTGGAGCTGCAGAAGGTGGACCCAGGGGCTGCGGCCCAGGGAAAGGCTCCCCTCCTCCCTCCGGTCTCAGGGTGCTCTCCAGGGCCAAGTCTCCCCAAGTCATGCCTTCTTTGCAGAAATAGGCCCTTTGCCCTTACCTTTCTCCATGCGGAAATCTAACCATCTGTGCCAGCCTCAAAGGGAAGGCATCTTAAGACTCTGATCTGAAGATCTAGTGTCTCTTAAAATGACTGACATGGCTGCTGAGAGGGAGAGGAGGAGGGAAGGTGAGGAGAAGGAGTCAGAAATCACCTCTCCTGTGGTCATTTTTCTCTCCCTGTGGTGGGGGCCACGGTGCTCCTGTCAACCCCACAACAGGCCAGGGCCAGGTGCTCCACCTGCTGGCTCCTGGGCAGTACTGGACAGAGGCCCAACTTGTTCCTGGGCCCAGAAGGGCTCCACCCTCCACGGAAACTTCTAGAAGGGAAAGGAAAGGTTTGAGGAAAGAGCAGGAAGTGAGGAACCAAGCGTTGGCTTTGGAACTCAGGCCTCTACCTTTCCACTTAGGTCAAGAAGCCGTTCAGGATTGGCAGATGTCAGGACAGGAAGCCTAGCCAGTTCAGGGGCATGTGTGCATACCGTGGGGCTGGGCCTGGTGGGCTCTGATGCACCCAACTACACCCATAGTGACGAGGCAATCACTGCTGTGGATGAGGGAGGCCACAGGCCTGGACTGGAGCCGCTCACCTGGCTGCTTGGCAGGGAGCTTGTGACAAAACCAGAGAAACCTAGCTCAGGATTCCAGCTGCCACTGTTCCTCGCCCTCCTGGAACACATGTGCACCCTGCGGGTACTGAGCACAGGTCTGGACCTTCTTGACATTTCAGTGCAGGGCCAAGGGTAGGGGGTTTCTTCTGAGCCCAAAGGGACTCAGGTGGGGCTGTGTCCTGTGGCTGTGGGAGAGCGCCAAGGTGCCTCAGGGGGTGCCTTTCATCAAAGAAGTGGGACATGTCTCTGGGCCTTGCCATTAGGGGCTAGTTCATTCTCTCAACGGGGCTAGTTCATTCTCTCAACGGGGCCCTCTGGCTCGCCTGCATCTCCAGCAGGGGTGGGAGCACCCTTGCCTATGTCTAGGACAGGAAGGGAAGGGTGAGGGTAGAGTGGGTGCAGGCCCTGAGCTGGGACCCAAGGTCTTGAGATAAAACCATGAAGGAGCAGCTGCCCGGGCTCTAAGCCCAGTGGGCTCCTGTCTTGATTTAGCCCCAGCTGTCAAGACTGGGGCCTGGTGATTTGTGGAGTCAGTGGAAGTGCCTGTCCTTCAGAGAGCAGGTTAAAGTCTGGCCTTGGTAAACAAAGTCATTCACTGCCTATTCACTCAACACGCACGAATTGAGTGATGACTCTCAGCCTGGCAGGGTTCCAGGTTCTGGGAACGTGGAGATTAATGAAGCCACACCTGAGGAGCACCCAGCCCAGGAGGCTGCTGTCAGTAACAGACCAACAAGCATTTCTTGAGCACCTACTAGGTCTGGGCACTGTGGGTGCCTTAAATGAGTGAGACATGGTCCCAAGGCACTTGTAACTTTCAGCCCCAGTAACCTCTGGGCCAGAGGGTGCACGGTCAGGGCGAGCGATCTCTAGGAACGGGGGCAAGTGTGTCCTCACTGCCTCTGGAGGGCTCCATGTGGAGCAGCTACCGAGCTGGAGAAGGATGGCTAGGGGCCCTCAGGTGGAGCCAGGTGGCAGGGGGACAGCCCCAGGCAAGGTGGCATGCCTCCCCAAGCCAGGGTCTAGGAGCCACACAGAGAAGCAGAGGAGGGGAAGCAGCTAGAAAGGGGCCCTGAGTGCCAGACATTATTCGGACAAACTAGCACCTTCCTTAGCTGGGCTTTGGAATATCATCCTGTTAGTTATGTGCAAAATGAGACAAGAGGTGGGTGCTGGGAAAGCGGCTGGGAGGCGGGGTTGACGTGGATGCTAAGGAGACTCTGGGGCCTGGGGATCCATTGCAACCTCCCAGGGCTCAGCTCTCATTGTGCAGCTGGGCCAAGACCCATGTGTCTGGGTCACCGGGGTCTGTGGCAGGGGATGGGCCCGCTGGTCATCTCAGGACAGTGGCTTCAGGAACAGACAGGAAGCTGTGAATAAGGACTGGTAGCCGTTTGGTCCCATGAGAAACAGGAGGAAGGAGGAAAGTATGGCCAAAGTTTTGAGCCAGGATGACCAGGAAGATGGAGATGGTGTCCACCAAGATGGGAAGGTAAGAAGCAAAGCAGCTTTGGGAACAAGACGAGGAAGTGCGTGGGGCCAGAGGGACTTCCAGGCACCACGTAGAGACAGAGCTGGGCCCAAGAGAGGGACGGAAGCTAGAAATCCATCTGGGGATGCTTGTAAGGAGCTAAAAGTTGAATTATACTTTAGGCCCCATCTTGGCTGTGGGCACACGGTGGGAGGACACTGAGCGTCACGGTGGGAGCATTGATGCCATATGCCAAGGGGTGGAGGCACCAGGGAGGGGGCTGGGGGCCAAGGGGCAGCCAGCCCAGCTTCAGGGCCTGAACCTCACACTAGGAGGCTGGAAAGGTGGGCTCTCCCGAAACCTCAGCCCCTGCCCAGCCAACACTGGCAGCAGGCGCCCAGGTCTGGCTTGTGTTTTCCATATTCCGGACGAGGTCCCCACGAGATGCACAGCCAACATACCTACACAGAGGGAGCCACTGTGCCCCTACCTCCTCTGCGCTTTCCCCTTTTTGCTTTTCTTTTTTTTTTTTTTTTGAAATGGAGTCTCGCTCTGTCGCCCAGGCTGGAGTGCAGTGGCGCGATCTCGGGTCACTGCAAGCTCCACCTCCCGGGTTCACGCCATTCTCCTGCCTCAGCCTCCCGAGTAGCTGGGACTACAGGCACCCGCCACCATGCCCGGCTAATTTTTTTGTATTTTTTAGTAGAGACGGGGTTTCACTGTATTAGCCAGGATGGTCTCGATCTCCTGACCTCGTGATCTGCCCGCCTTGGCCTCCCAAAGTGCTGGGATTACAGGCGTGAGCCACCGTGCCCGGCCTCCCCTTTTTGCTTTTCTTATGATGCATCCTAAGCCTTCAGTGCACAGCTGCCTTCCCTTGGGGACCCCTCTCTGACCACACAGTGGGACCTCCCAGCCCTAACCATGCTCCTGTTACAAGCTACAAAGCCAGCTCTTCCCTGTTGTCCTGGGATCCAGGTTCTGGGTCTATCCCTCACGTTGCCTCGGCTTAACTCTGAGCCTTTGGGCTTTGGCCAGCCCTTCCTGGACCTGTCACCCTGCATTGTGTCACTAATGTCACCGTGAGTGCAGCAGGAACAGAAAGGTGAGGTCTGGGGGTGACTGAGTGGAAGGGGATATCCCAGGCAGTGATCCACGCCATAGGAGAAAAACCCATGCACACGGAGAAAAGATAACCAAGGAAAAAGCTATTCCTTCCCCTCCGACAGGAGCCCCCGAGGACAGGCCCCAGGAGCCCCGGAAACTCACTAGCCCTGCTGGCCAAATGACCACTTCTACATGCTGTGGACGACTTTAGCAACTCCCTTCTGCCCGCAGCTTCTGAAGGTTCCCTTTCAGGGCCACGAGGGGCCTTCCGAGGAGGTGGCACAGCTCAGCTGCCAGGGACCACCTGAGAGCCCGGGAGGACCATGGTTCTGGGCAGCCGTGGGGAGAAGGAAAGGGTGCGGGCAGAAGCTCAAAGCCAAGGGTTTGGCCACAGACTATACCCCAGTCAGAGGGAAGAGGCTGCGGGCCCTGTGCTCCATCCCAGGGAGCCCTGTGGGATGTTTCTTTGGGGAGAAAAGGGAAGGGAGGGAAGGGGTGTGGAGGGCGGGGCAGTGCCTGGGCTGGAATGTTGCAGCTTCTGTTCTCCAAAGCAGCTCCTGGAGCGCCTGCCTGCGGCTCTGGCTGATCTGATAAGATGTGACAAGACCGCCTGAAAAATGTTGAAACCTGTAAAATGTTTAAACCTGTTTTTTGTTGTGTTGTGAGCATGAAGTGCTTTTTCTTTCTTTCTTACCCACCCCCCCACCCCTTCATTTCACAGGAAAGTGAAGTTGATAAGCCTGGAAAAAGGGAGGAGGGTGCGAGAGAGGGATTGTTGCCTTCAGCCAAATTGTGGTCCGGGGCATGGAGCAGTCTGGTGGGACCTGGGGAGGAGGAAAGAGAGTGGAAACAGGAGGGAAGAGGGGACAAGAGGTGAGAGGAGTCAAGGGTGGAAGAAGGAGGAGGACAGGAGAAGCGGGGGATGGAGGGGTCCTGCACCCCTGGCCTGCTCAGCAGCCCCAGCCCATCCTCCCCAGGACCAAACACAGTCCCCCACTTGGCACCCCAGAGGAACCCCAGGGCTGTGGGTCTCTTCCTTCAGGCAGGGGATTCACAGGGAAGGGCCTAGGCCCAGAGGGGTGTCCAGAGACGGGTAAAAGGCAGGGACCTCACTCTTCAGACCCCAGAGCGTCTCCCTGAGAGGCACCAAGCCCACAGGTGGGCAAGTGCTGCCTGGTGACCACAGAGGGGAGCAGCTCCCAAGGACACATGCTGAGAGCTGGGTCCGTTTCTCCACTTTGCTGCGCAGTTCAGGACTCCCAGGTAAAGCCCAGATGCCCTGTGCGTGCTCAGGTAGGGTCCCAGCCCTCTGCCTTCAGACACACAAAGGGGTGCCGTGCTCTCTGTTACTGAGGATGTCATCAAGGCCCAGAGGCCTACTTGGGGTCACAGCATTTCTGCCCATCAGTTTTGGGTGATTGTCATACAGCTCCCCCTAAATGTCTAGTCTTGGCAACTCAGGGGATGCTGAACATTCTAGAACATTCTAGAAACCCTGGTGGGCCCAGGTGTCTCTGGGGGTGCTCATCAGTACAAAGATAGATGTTCAGTAAAGGCCATTTTTCTTTTCTTTTTTCTTTTTTTTTTTTTTGAGACAGGGTCTCACTCTGTCACACAGGCTGCAGTGCAGTGGCACAATCACAGCTTACTGCAGCCTTGAACTACTTGGCTCAACCAGTCCTTCCACCTCAGCCTCCTGAGTAGCTGAGACTACAGGCACATGCCACTATGCTCTGCTAAGTTTTTAAAATTTTTTGTAGAGATGAAGTCCTGCTATATTGCCCAGGCTGGGTTTCGAACTCCTGGGCCCAAGCAATCCTCCCACCTCAGCCTCCCCAAGTGCTGGGATTACAGGTGTGAGCCAGCGTGCCCAGCCAATAAAGACCTGTTGAAGAAAAGTCTCCACCTGTGAAAGTTTTCTTGCTATTGGAGTAGGGCGGGGGCGGGGGAACAATAGGAGTGTCCTGGAAGGGCTTTAGGAGCATTCTGTAAATGGCCACGCATGTTAGTGATTCTATTACAGTGTTAGGTCATAAAATGTCAAAGCTAAGCGGGACCTTTGACATCACCTAGTTCAGCTCCTTGGGGAAATTAAGGCCCAGGGAAGCGATGTGCCTTCCCTGCTGTTCCTCCACTGGTTGGAGGCAGTGCAGAGAGCACAGCCCAGGCCTGCTGACTCCCAGCCAGAGCTTGTCTCTCTCATAGCACGCAGATCGTTCTTGAAGTGCCCCAGACCTGATCATCTGAAGGCTGGGCCTCATTCAGTACCTGCATACTATGTGCCCAAGATGTATGAGATGTAGCCTCGGCCGGGCGCGGTGGCTCACGCCTGTATTCCCGGCACTTTGGGAGGCCAAGGCAGGCAGATCAACTGAAGTCAGGAGTTCGAGACCAGCCTGGCCAACATGGCGAAACGCCTGTCTCTACTAAAAACAGAAAAAATTAACCAGGCGTGGTGGTGGGCACCTGTAATCACAGCTACCCTGGAGGCTGAGACAGGAGAATCGCTTGAACCTGGGAGGCAGAGGTTTCAGTGAGCCGAGATTGTGCCACTGCACTCCAGCCTGGGCAACAGAGTGAGACTCTGCCTCAGAAAAAAAAAAAAAAAAAAGATGTAGCCTCCACCCTCCTCAGTGACCCCACCTCAGTGCAGGTGACCAGTCAGTTGCAGAGTGTGAGAAGTCCCACTTGGGACTTCAAGGAATAGGGGTGCTGAGGGGAAGGAAGTGGGAGAAGGCAAAGAAGTCCCCTTCAAAGAGGTGACATTTGAGCTGGGCCTTGAAGTTGAGCTCAGCTTGGCCAGCTTTTCCTCCTGGAGCTTGGCCATCTGTTTCTTTGCCTCCCACTCCACTAAGTGGAATTCTAATTCAAACTTTTCCTAAGCCATGTTTGCATCTTTAGTTCATTTTAACCTTGTAACATTTCTCCCCTTCCTGACCCCTCCAAACCCTAAGTCAGTCTCCCATTTTACAGATTGGGAAATGAGAACCTTACAGAGTTAGGCTGCCGTTCTGAGCAGCCAAGTCTGCTGGTTCCCACACCAGGATTTTGCTGGGTCCCCACATTGCTATACCCTTCAAGCCAGTTCTGGTAAAAGACAAGACATAGCCTGCCCAGCCCTCTTGTTCGCTTCTGACTCCAGACTTCTATTCATCCCTCAAGGTCCCATGTTTAAATCCCCTTTTAATGTCTCCAATTCAAATTGTTCCCTCTGGCCATTTCCCCAGCTCTTATACATCCGTCACAGGTAACCTTCAATGCACTCAAGTGCATTGTCCACCGACTCCATTGATGGTGAGTTTTTTGAGAGGAGGGATTCTTTCACTCGTTTCCATGTAGAATCTAGCACCTGCTTCAGCAGGTGCAGTGGCCCTGCGAGGACCTCCCTGCGAGGACCTCCCTGCCTCCTTTCACTGCCCTCAGCAGCCCCACTGAGTGCCCAGTCCTTTCCTTCGTCTCTCCCAGGTCCCACAGGCTGTCTCCACGGCGAGCTGAGGGCAGGTGATGGCCATGGCCCTGCTGGCTCTCTGGGCCTTTTAACACAGCTGCTAGCTCCACAGTTTGGGAGTCCTTTGTTTGAATCTTAGAAGCAGCCCAGTGGGGAACACACAAAGCTGTGCTGCTTGGCTGGGAGCTCACTCTTAGAGCAGCTCCCCAGGGCTCCTCAGAGAGCCACCAGCCTGGTGTGTGTCTTTATTCAATAAACATTCACGCTGGGCCAGGCCTTATGCTGGACGCCGGGAGCACAGTGCGTGGGGCACTCCTGGTCTTGCAAGGACTCTTACCTGAACCTGGAGCTGCCCTGAGGAAGCCCATTCTCCTCTTTATGGGGGCCCAGAGGCCACCCTCCCTGCCTCACACCTGATAGCACCGGCCACCAGGGCTGGCACCTACCTGGACTGTCCCATCCACTCTCTTATTCTATGCTCTTCAGAAAACCAAGGACAGTCCCTGACCAGCTGGCTACTGGGGTCAGGGATGCAGGCTATACACTACGGCAGATCACTTGGGGTGGTTTTGAAAAATACAGACACCCAGGCTCCAACACCAGCGTGGCAGGATCAGAGCCTCTGGAGAGGAGTCCAGGAAACTGGATCATTAAAAGCCTCCACCAGAAGTGTGACAGTAGAATGGTATGAGATGATGCAGCAGGAAGGCCCCAACCTTCCCTATGATGTTCTTTGGCCAAAGACGTTTAATCTGATCTAACCAAGCTTTGAGAGGTAACCTCTTGTTATCAGGGAACACAAGGGACAGAGGAACAAACCAAATGACACCATGGGGAAGCAACTGGACAAATTCAGAGCAGGGTTTGAACCCAGGGCCTTGCCAGCTGGAGTACTAAACCATGGCTGGGCACTTTGAGGCCACAGTGCACTGGACACTGCCCAGGGCTCCAGCTTGGACCTCCAGCTGGGCCTGGCCCTGGCCCTAAAGCCAGCAGTGGCAGATGCGCACGCAGGAGGCAGCTGCAGGTTGGGAGGCCTCACGGGGGATGCTGCGACCACACCCAGGTGCTCAGGGCAACGATTCCACTCTCTACCTTTCAAGGTGGGTATTTCCACCACATTCCCAGGAGGGCTTCTTTGCGCCTCATCCCCCCACGGCGCTGAGGATGGGCAGGTGAAGACAGCCCTGCCCAGCACCTGGACTTCCCCCACTCTATTTAGGGAGGCCCCACCCAAGTTCAAAGCGCTGGCTGCCCCTCCCTTGCAGCCCCATTCTCCATCCCCAGGCGAGGCAGTCCAGAGCGAGCCTCAACATTTTCCTCTGCACCTCCTTCCCCCAACTTCATCAGTCCCTGCCACCCATTCCTCCGCAGGCTCCTTGCTTTAGCTCTGTCCTCTCCTTGCAACAGGCGCCTGGGTTTGCAAACATGCACTCAGCACCTGTTAGGAGCCGAATCTGGGTTCATTACAGACCCACGCAGGACTTCATTACACATTCCAGCACTCAGCAGGGTGGGCCATTGGTTCTCATCCCTGGCTGCATAGTAAGTGGCCCTGCTGAGCTTAGAAACAAGGCTGCCTGGGCCCCCTGCAGAGAAAGGGATTTAAGTGGTCTAGGTGCTCCCTCCCCTCTGTGGTATCCTCCCTCCCTCCCTCAAGGTTGAGAAGCACTGCCCTAGGTCACAGACAGGGCTGGGGACCTGCCCACAGCCCCACCCTGGGTCCACAGCTGGGGCTCCTGGGTCCTCTGCCCTCCCCCTGGGCCCCACCTCCTATTCCCAGTACCAGTCCCTCCAAGTTGTTAGGATCAACCCGTCCCCTGTTTTCCAACCTCTGGTCTTGTCCACTTCCTCTCCCGAAGTAGCCCTCCCCCATCATCTCTCTCCTTGGCCTCTCAGCAAATCTCCATGTTCACGGCCACAGAAGCAAAACTTCCCTGATCCAGCAGCCATGAAGAAGAAGCATTTGGGCACGCCCCTCCGTTTCCGTCCACCTTGGCAGAAATCAGAGGCCGGCTACTGCGCTCGCGTTTTATGTGCGTTCCAAAACACACGCTCACGTACATCGGAAAAGGACAGGATAAAAGATGTGTTTCAAAAGAAACCTTTTCCTCCTGCAGCCTCATGCGTCATCTGGAACCCCCTGCCCAGGCCTGACTCCTCGTTTCCTCTGGGGTTTTCCTCTTTTCTTTTCCCTTCTTCCTGGTTTCCCCTTAGCTTTCTTAGCTGTGCAGTGGGGTGTATCTGTTTGTGAGTAAGTGGAAGTTCTGTCTGCAAAGGTACAGGATGCTCACACTCTTTGGGTTCAAGGCAGCAAGCCTTTTCCCTACTGGGTTGGGGGCTCCACACCTTCCTTGGTTCTTGCCTGCAGCTACATTTCCCCCCAACCCAGGACTTCGCTTTCCTTACTCTTTTTTTTTTTTCTGAGACAGAGTCTCGCCCTGTCACCCAGGCTGTAGTGCAGTGGCGTGATCTCAGCTCACTGCAACCTCCGTCTTCCAGGTTCAAGCGATTCTCCTCCTGAGTAACTGGGATTACAGACGAGGACCACCATACCTGGCTAAATTTTTTTGTATTTTTAGTAGAGACGGGGTTTCAACATGTTGGCCAGGCTGGTCTCAAACTCCTGACCTCAAGTGATCCGCCCGCCTCAGCCTCCCAAAGTGCTGGGATTACAGACGTGAGCCACCACGCCCGGCCTCCTCACTGTTTTCTGACCAGAAATGGTCCACTCTGCTCTGCAGAGCCTCACCTCCTCTCCCACTCCCTTCCTTCCCCTCACTGTGTACAACACCCTGTCACTCCACCAGGCCAGGCATGCCCTGGTAAGGGTGCTGGGGCACAGGGAGTTTCTGTAATTTCTGTCTGCATTCTACTTACATTCATCACAAAAGTAGGAAGGCATTTCTTCTGGGGGAAACACACGTTGTGTAGAAAAGATAAAATCTCTCTCTCTGGCATGGTGGCGCATGCCTATAATCACAGCACTTCAGAATTTCGAGGCAGGGGGATCACCTGAGGCCAGGAATTTGAGATCAGCCTGGGCAACACAGCGAGACGCTGTCTCTACAAAACACAGAAAAATTAGCTGGGTGTGGTGGTGCACACTTGTAGTCCCAGCTACTGGGGAGACTGAGGCAGGAGGATCGCTTGAGCCCAGGAGTTTGAGGCTGTAGTAAGCTGTGATTGCACCACTGCACTCCAGCCTGGGCAACAGAGTGAGATCCTGTCTCTTAACAAAACAAAAGAAAACAACTCTCTCTTACACATACATAGAAATAGCGAACATTTAAAGTCAAAAAATTCTAAATCTCTGCAAATGGGATGTGTGTTCGACACAAAAGGCAAAATGTCAGTGCACATTAGCCCCAGTTAAGGTTCCCCCAGGAATCACCCTGGCCTAAGAGAAGGCTCAAATCACCATGGGTGGGAGGAGGTGTCCTCCAGAGGGGGGATGACGTCATGGAGCACCTTTTTGGGGACACTCAGGCTGTGAATGAAATAAAGAACGCTTTTACAGGTGATTACCCATAATGAATAAGATAAGGTGGGGTACATTTATTTGGGTAGAGAGTGGCTAATAAGGTAGTGAAGAACTTCACCAATTTCCTCAACTCTGCTCTAAGTAAGGTAGTAAGGAGCCTATTCACTGAGGCACTCAGAGTGGCCATTTTATTATTTTTTTGAGACAGAGTCTTGCTCTGTCACCCAGGCTGGAGTGCAATGGTGCCGTGTTGGTTTACTGCAACCTCTGCCTCCCAGGTTCAAGCGATTCTCCTGCCTCAGCCTCCCGAGTAGCTGGGACTATAGGTGCATGCCACCACACCTGGCTAATTTTTGTATTTTTAGTAGAGACAGAGTTTCACTATGTTGACCAGGCTAGCCTCGAACTACTGACCACGTGATCTGCCCACCTCTGCCTCCCAAAGCGCTGGGACTACAGGTGTGAGCCATCACGCCTGGCCAGTGGCCATTATTAATAATAATAGTTAACATTTATTGAGGCCTGACTATGTGCCAGTTGCCATGTAAAGCACTTTACATAGAATACATCCTTTAATTTGCCAAAGAACCCAATTTAACGGATGATGACATGGGCTCAGAGAGGCCAAGTGACTCGTCTAAAGTCACATAGCTAGGAAATGGTGGCACTGAGATGGCAAAAAAAGCAGTGAGGGCTGAGGGAGGTGGCTCACACCTGTAAACCCGGCACTTTGAAAGGCCGAGGCGGGAGGAGCACTTGAGCTCAGGTGTTCAAGACTAGCCTAGCCGAGAAAGCAAGACCTTGTTTCTACTAAAATTAAAAAAAAAAAAAAATTAGCTGGGCATGGTGGTGACCACCTGTAGTCCCAGCTACTTGAGAGGCTGAGTTGGGAGGATTGCTTGAGCCCAGGAGGTCAAGGCTGCAGTGAGCCAAGATCGAGCCATTTTACTCTAGCCTGGGCAACAGAGTGAGACCCTGTCTAAAAAAAAAAAAAAAAAAAAAAAAAAAAAAATGAGGGGAGACATTTACCAGGACAGGGTTTATAGAGAGCATGTTCATGGAAGGCTAAGGAGAAAGGGAAGGAAGTGCTCAGGTCCTGCTCTGCTGCTCCGGCCGCTGTTGGGGTTAACATCCCTGTAAATTCAAATGCTGGGCTCCCGCCTATCAGTCTTTTTTCTTTCGAATGTTGGTGCAGATCTTCCGCACTGGAGGTCCATTTCTCTGTGTCTCAGACAAGGCTGGACCCACGCCCAAGGCATTGCAGGAGGAGAGGAGACCCCCGACCTGAGGGCTGGAGGCATTTGTGTGTGAGACAGGACAAAGAATTTCAGGGGACCAGAGAATTCAAGGTGGCAGAGGGTTAACAAGACCTCTCCCAAGACAACACACCCAGCAGATGCTGACAAATGTGGGCAAGAGTTCCTGAGAGAGAGGCCAGGGTAGATGACACACGTTCCCAGCACCTTCCAACCTGCAAAGCATTTCCTCACACAGCTTCTCCATGAATCCTCTCAACAGCCCTGAGAGTAGAGATGCCGGCTCCAGTTTACCAATGACAGATTGCCATCGGCCAGGAAGTGGAGGTGGAGTTGGACCCCAAATCCCATGCTATCGCTATTTTGCCACTCTGTCCAGACCCCACCCTCTGGAGATAACCAGTTTATCCCAGCAGAGTGCATTTATTCGGCACCTGCTATGTGTTCTTCACTGAACTAGGCACGACGGGGACATAACCAAGACAGTGTCACACGGTGAAATCTAACAGGCATGTTCATAGGGAACAGCAGGAGGTTAGCAAGGGGACAGCCAGCTTATAAACTCTCTGGTGGGAGGGGCGTGGGGGAGAGCAAGTGAAGGAGGACATAGAACAGGGGTGGGGGTGGATAAACCACAAGACCTCAGGGGACTGTGCCCTGAGAGAAAAGGAAGAGGATGGGCATTTCTGGGACATTGATGTCACATAAAACTCCAAAACCCAAGGGACCAAGAAGAAAGGAGGCCAGGGCCTGAGGTCCTGCTGATGAGCTTCAATCTTACTAGCGGTGAAGAGGGGTCACCATCTATGGGGCTGAAAGAAGCCCAGGCCCTATATGCAGGCTGGATCCCCCGACAGGACCTGTCAGAGCTAGAAGGAGCCTTGGGGGTCATCTGGTCCAGTTTGCATATTGCACAGGGCTCAGAGCTAAGGCCATCTCACTGGGCTGAGGAGCCAAAGAACATAGTCAGCTCTGAGAAGGGCTCTTCAAGGCTGGCTCTCCTTTGTTTGCAGAACACACTGTACCACCGTGGAGAGGATAAAAATCTAAAATTCAGCACCTTAACCCATTCTCATACCAGTCAAACTTTCGACAGTCCTATTGGTCTATAGATGCCTGGGAATTCCCTCCTTTCCCAGGTCAGGAAGATCTCGACCTCCTTCCACCAGCTTCCCAGGACTTTCTTTTCTTTCTTTCTTTCTTTTTCTTTTTTTTTTTTTTTTTTAACAGATTCTTGCTCTGTCACTCAGGCTGGAGTGCAGAGGTACGATTCCAGCTCACTGCAACCTGCACCTCCCAGGTTCAAGTGATTCTCGTGCCTCAGCCTTCCGAGTAGCTGGAATTATAGGCACCCACCACCATGCTTGGCTAATTTTTGTATTTTTAGTAGAGACGGGGTTTCACCATGTTGGCCAGGCTGGTCTTGAACTCCTGACCACAGGTGATCTGCCCGCCTCGGCCTCCCAAAATACTGGGATTACAGGTGTGAGCCACCATGCCAGGCCCTTCCCAGGACATTTCTGAGACACCTGGTGGGAATTCTTACCTGCTTACCTCACCTGTGTCCCTCTGAGCCACCATTTTGGCCCTCATTTCCCACCCTCGGGTGCTGAGGGAATTGTTCCCTACCAGGAATGAATCCCCAGGCTTGTCTGCTCCCCCATAAACACCCTCTGGAATGTGCATCCGAAACCTCCTACCCCACACCAGCGCATTCAGCCCCTCTACCGGCGCCCCATGTCTCACTCCCCTGGTGTGGCCAGAACTGGGGATGGTGCAAGAATAAAGCCCTAGGCAGTGTGGAAAGCAGACAGCTGACCCTGTGACTTCTGGGGCTCCCCTCCGAGGTGGGGAAGAACAGAGGAGCTGGCCTCTGGGGTCTGAGAAGACCAGCCGGCCCGTGGGCAAAGGGACGACAGCAAATTCTCCTCCAGTGACCCTCAGCCCCTGACGCCCTGTCTAACCCTCTCAGATCCAAAGCTGCGAGCCCTCAGGAACATGTGGCTACCTCTAACCCAGCTCACTTGCCTGGTTAAAAGCAACCACAGGTGTCCAGCCTGCAAACATTTCCCGGCACACAGGGCCCTGTGCAAGGGGCAGTGGGTGACGACACCAAGCCCAGTTCCGGAGCACCCTGCTGTTCTGCGGCACTGCTGACTCACAAGCGATTCTGCCGCTGTGCAGTCTCAAAGCCAGCCCCACCCGGGGATCTCTGTCTTCCTTGGTCTGTCATGAAGGTGCTAGTAACCCCCAGGCTTCTCAGATAACTCCTTCTCCTTCACTTGTGCACTCTTGCTCTCTGTCTCTCTCTGTCTCTGTCTCTCCCTCTCTCTCTCACACACACACACATGCATGCACGCACACACACGTGTGCACACATGTTAAATTCTAACCCTTGCAGTACCATGGATTTCCATTTTGTTGAGATGAATAGAGGATTAAAAAAAAAAGAACTGATCAGGTTGTCGGCAGGGTAATTATCAGTAAAAAGAAACAGAGGAGCTGTCCCATCCGCAGGTGGTAGGTGGCACCCTCCACGCCTGCAGGCCAGGGCTTTGTGATCTGGCTGACCCCAATCCTGATCTTATTGCTACCACCCATTACCACGTCTCCTTGGGAGGACTCAACTTCCTAATGAGAAAAACATCCCCCACTTCAAAGAGGCTGCGGGGAGGAAGAATTGAAATGATGTAGATAAAGCTTTTATCACAGTCCCTGGCACATAGTAGGTGCACAATAAATGTTGGTTGCCATTGTCATAGTGCTAATAAAGACCAGTGACATCCTCTATGCCAGGCACTGTTTGTGTGCTTGCCGCATATTAACCCCATAATAATTCTGTAAGGAAGGTATGTTATCATCACCCCTATCTCAGTGGGGAAACTGAGGCAGAGATTGGCCCACATTACCCAGGTAATTAGGGACACATCTGGTCTGGCTCCAGAGGCTGAAGACTTAACCACAATGTTCTCCTGCCCCTCTCAGAAGGAGTTGGATGAGAGATCCCATCTGTATGTCCCACTCGGGGCACACAGAGAGGCAAGCGCAACTTGGTTCCTGCCCCGCAGGGGCTCCCAGCCTCATTGGGTGACAGATCCTAAAAATGCAACTACAGGGGACCTAAGACGGGAGAATGATTCACCAGCCAGACAGCCCGGGTGTCCCCTGGTGCAAGATGAGCGGTGCCTGATCAGTCCCTGGTTCCTGGCTGCTGCATAGGAGAGGGGGCTCAGCTGGATGGCTGACTGATTGGCTGACTGCTTCATTCATTAATTCCTGAGTGCATTCATTCATTCCTTCCACTCAAGCCCTCCAGAAAGGGTGGTCTGGACTGAACTAGTTTACACGGGATGATTACAACAGAAGTCAGAGGACTCTCAGCTTGGTTACCGAGGAAAATAAGACCACAAAACCAAACTGACTGAAATAGGCAGGAGAATCTTCTCGATCCCATTTTCCAAATGGGGGAAAATGGGAAAAGGGCTCCAAGGTTAAATATTTTTGGAAAACAAGTTAAACAAATAAAAACGGGTCACACTGGTAGGACCTCTCAGTGCTGCAACTATGCTAATGAGCTGCTAATATTCAAATGAGAACAATAAACACCAAGAGGCTCCAAGTTGCCTGTGGCGATTCTTAAGTTTATTTGACTCCAGAAGCCTTTCTCAACAGGATTATGTGGGGCTGATGTTATAAGAAACACACTATGCGATGTCCTACTCTGGCCCAAGAGCTGTCTGGAAAAGCTGTTCCAAAAACCTGGGAGAGAGTGGAAGTGAGGCTGAGAGGACTCCCAGGAAGACGGCAGCTCCAGGCTGGGTTTTGAAAAATCCTGGGAAGTTCAGGGCCAAGTGGAGGAGGGAAAGGAAAGAGTTTTCCAGTAGGGAATGGGATCCTGAGAGAAAGACGGTGAAGGCCCAAGGCAGTGGAGTCCTCAGGAGTGGGCTTGCCTCGGGCGGGAAGAAGGGCCTTGGGCCATGGGAAAAACAATCTCAAAGATGACAGCACAGATGGGCACAACCTCTTTGGAAAACAGTTTGGCATCATCTTGTAAAGCTCAACATTCACACATCCTGCAACCCAAAGTTCCACGCCTAGGCAGGTACCTCCATGAACACCTTTCCCTGCTGTGCACAGCGAGATGCACATCCATGGCCAGGAGACAAAATAGATAAACTGTATATTCTAAAGATGGACTATTATGCAACTGTGAGCATGTGAGAACTACAGCAAGATCCAGGAACAGTTTGAAACTTAGAAACACAATGCAGAGAGAGAATAGCTCAACATAGAGGGCCACATGCAGTATAACACCATTTTTATAATGCTAAAAATAGGCAAAATAAAACATTTCATTTAGGCATTATTACCTGGGAAAACCAGTTTTTTGTTTGTTGGTTTTTTGTTTTTTTGAGACAGGGTCTCCAGGCTGGAGTGCAGTGGCGTGATCCCGGCTCTCTGCAACGTCTGCCTCCTGGATTCAAGCGATTCTCCTGCCTCAGCCTCCCGAGTAGCTAGGACCACAGGCGTGTGCTAACACACCCAGCTAATTTTTGTATTTTTAGTAGAGATGGGGCTTCACCATGTTGGCCAGGCTGGTCTCGAACCCCTGACCTCAGGTGATCCTCCCGCCTCGGCCTCCCGAAGTGCTGGGATCACAGGCATGAGCCACTGTGCCCAGCCAAAAACCAGTATTTTTAAGTAATGGAATAAATAGGTAAAATTCAGGATGTGGTCACATCTAGAGGGAGATGGGGAATGGGCTGAGGAGGACCCACAGATGGACACGACGGCCTAGTCACGGTCTGGTCCTTCAGGGACATAGTGAGGCTCAGGTTTTCATTCTGTCATCATGTCTAATATATATGATTGTTCTCTTGTATATGTCAAGTATTATGTAATAAAAATATTTTTGATCAGCTTGCAGGAGAATAGCTGGTATCTGCTTAGGCTTGTGCCAGCCATACCATTGGCACATCAGCTCTTCTTCACCCTGAATTCCTTCTCAGAGTTTAGCAGCCCTCTCTCGCCTAAAGGTTGGATGCACACAGTGACTGCCAGCCCTGGATCAGCCTGCATCCCACCCAGGCCTCCTGCACTTCCAGCCACACTCACTCACTGTGCTTAGCAAGGGCTTACACAGCCAGTGCCTCAGCCATTAACTAGGGTGATATTAAATCTACACAGACCACTCCTTGGAACCCCCATAAAAATCCCTGATAGGCTGGGCGCAGTGGCTCACACCTGTAATCCCAGCACTTTGGGAGGCCAAGGCGGGTGGATCACGAGGTCAGGAGATCGAGACCATCCTGGCTAACATGGGGAAACCCCATCTCTACTAAAAATACAAAAATTGGCCAGGCATGGTGGTGCGTGCCTGTAGTCCCAGCTACTTAGGAGGCTGAGGCAGGAGAATCACTTGAGCCTGTGAGGCGGAGGTTACAGTGAGCCAAGATCACACCACTGTACTCCAGCCTGGTGACAGAGCAAGACTCCGTCTCAAAAAAAAAAAAAAAAAAAAATCCCTGATAGCTAACCACATTTAATTCACCCTTCCCTTCCTGAGAACTGGAGGCCTTTGTGAGTACTCTGGCTGAACAGGATACCAGAACGCAAGGTCATGCCAGAGTCTGCATTGCCTTTTGTCCACCAAGTCACAGACTTCTGCCACATGCCTCCCCACCCGCTTCTTTCTTCAGATAGGCTTATTGGTTGGGACAAACCAACATAAAGTGTGTGGGATTCCCTGAAGCCAGCCTTTTCTGTTTTGGAAGGAATTCAGATCTTTCTGCTCTAAAGAAGCCTGGCCTGGGAGAGAATATTTTTATAACCCTGCTACATTAGATGACCTGTAGAACATCTTTAATGATTCACCTTCAACTCAGTTTCTATTATTTCTACTTTTTTTTTTTTTTTTTCGAGATGGAGTCTCACTCTGTTGCCCAGGCTGGAGTGCAGTGGTGTCATCTCAGCTAACTGCAACCTCCGCCTCCCAGGTTCAAGCGATTCTCCCATCTCAGCCTCCTGAGTAGCTGGGATTACAGGTGTGCGCCACCATGCCTGGCTACTTTTTGTATTTTTAGTAGAGACAGAGTTTCACCATGTTGGCCAGGCTGGTCTCGAACTCCTGACCTCAAATGATCTGTCCGCCTTGGCCTCCCAAAATGTAGGGATTACAGGCATGAGCCACTGCGCCTAGCCAGTTTCTGTCTGTTATTTCATTTCAACCTCACAACTACCTTGAGATCATATTTTTTATTCCCATTATACAGAGGAAGAGACTGAGACTCAGATTTTTAAGCAACCACCCAAAGCAAAGTTCTAGAAGCTATGAAGTGGACATCTGGGATTTGCACCACAGGTGGTTCTGTCACAGAGCCTACCCTCTTTCTGGAGTGCTATGTTGCCTCCCCACACCAAGGTTAGATGCCCAGAGCCGGACTTCCTGGGAGATCACAGAGTGAGGGGAGTGCTGTCCCAGAGAGTGGGGACCAGCTGAGCCTGAACTGCAGCCTGCTTGGGAAGGAGTCTGATTCCTGGGCCAAGTGCTAACAGAATTCCTATTTATTTATTTATTTATTGGAGATGGAGTCTCACTGTGTCACCCAGGCTGGAGTGCAGTGGCGCGATCTCGGCTCACTGCAGCCTCCACCTCCCAGGTTCAAGTGATTCTCCTGCCTTAGCCTCCCGAGTAGCTGGCATTACAGCTGCCCACCACCACACCCAGCTAATTTTTGTATTTTTAGTAGAGACGGGGTTTCACCGTGTTGGTCAGGCTGGTCTAGAACTCCTGACCTCAGGTGATCCGCCCACCTCGGCCTCCCAAAGTGCTGGGATTACAGATGTGAGCCACCATGCCTGGCCTGATAACAGAATTCCTAACTGTGCTCCTGCAACACTCAGGATGATGTGTGAGGCTCGCTAGTGATGCAGAGGCCTACAGAGCAGAATCCCTGCCCTCAGGGGCTGACTCTTAACACTGGGAAGACAAGACAGATGCACATGAAGAGGTATCTGAGAATACAGGAAAATACACAACAAGTACCAGCTGGTCTTCCTGGCAGAGCATCACAGAGGCAATGAGAATCCAGCTGGAGCAGGGAGACAAGAGTCTGGGACCAGCAGGTGACTCTCAACAGTGTCCTTTCATCCCACAACCTGTCTTTGAGGATCCACTGTGTGCCCTGTGCTATGTTTGGTGGTATGGGTTGAAAGATGATGGAGAACTGGTCCTGCCCACAGGTGACTTACAGTCTAGTCCATGAAATAGATGTGCTCAGAAGGGCCTTTGCTGGGGCCGCGGTGCTGAGGGAAGGCTGCGCAGAGGAAGTGATGGCTGAACTATGATTTCAAGACCGAACAGGAGTTTGTAGTCATCCCAAGAGAAGGCAGGGGGTAGCACAGAGGCACGGAGAAGTGAGGTGTGCACGAGAACAACGCAGACTGTAACATGAAATTAATGTCAGCAAAATGTGTGTCTAACTCACTGAGTACACACCTGACCCTGTGCTAGTCTCACATGCGTTATATCCTTTCATCCTCACAATAGCCCTCGTTATCCCCATTTTGCAGAGAGAAAACCAAGGCTTGGAGAGGTGAAGTCCACCCAGATAAAAAGGCAGAACCATCTAGAGTCCAGGACTGCTGTACCCAGGCCCATGTGCTTACCCATGTTGGGGTTGGGAGAGGAGCGGGTGCAGGGCGGCAGGGGCCAGGCTGAGGAGTATACAACAACACAGTCATATCTGCTGCTGCTGCACTCCTAATTAGACCGTTTAAAAATGACCAAAGTGGCCGGGCACGGTGGCTCACGCCTGTAATCCCAGCACTTTGGGAGGCTGAGGTGGGCACATCACCTGAGGTCAGGAGCTGGAGACCAGCCTGGCCAACATGGTGAAACCCCATCTCTACTAAAAATAGAAAAATTAGCCGAGCATGGTGGCAGGCGCCTGTAATCCCAGCAACTTGGGAGGCTGGGGCAGGAGAATAGCTTGAACCTGGGAGGCGGAGGCTGCAGTGAGCTGTGATTGCGCCATTACACTCCACTCTGGGCAACAGAGCGAGACTCTATCTTGAAAAACAAATTGAATTGAATTGAATTAAATTAAATTAAATTAAAATAAGACTGACTAAACTGATCAGAAAAGAAGATCCGTTGAGGCTGAGAAAGGCTAAAACATGGTCCAAGTTTAACAAAAAGGGACTTGGAGGTAAGTGACCACAGCTGTGAGGGAGGGCAGTGCCACTGTGGGTCTGCCAAGGGAGGGATGGAGATGATGCAGCCACATTAGAGGAGGCAAGCCTTCTTCCCGATGCTGTGCCAGTTCGACCCTAGTGGAACTGTTTCCCCGCCAAGCCCTAAGGCCTGGCTGTAGCATTGAGACCACTCAACGAAGCCTCATCTACCATGTGCCCAGTATTGAAAAGTTTCATGCCAGATTCACAAACTGTTAAACATAAGATATTCTATCCAGCTCATTAAGCTGTACACTGACAAGTTGTGTGCTCGCCTGTACGCATGTTTGTGATATTATAAAATATATATTTGGTCTTCGACCTAGTTTCCCAGCGTACAACTCCTAAAATCCTTAGAAACTCCAAAGTGATGTCTTTTTGTATGCTAATGAGCTGACGGAAGAGCTGGCAGCCCCTAGGCAGCTTCAAGATTGAGGTTGGTTACCCCAAAAGACCCAGGCAGGATTAAAGGGTTGGACTTTCTTTTCTTTTATTTATTTATTTTGACGGAGTTTGACTCTGTCTCCCTGGCTGGAGTGCAGTGTTGTGATCTCAGCTCACTGCAACCTCCGCCTCCTGGGTTCAAGCGATTCTCCTGCCTCAGCCTCCCCAGTAACTGGGATTACAGGCACCTGCCACCATGCTCGGCTAATTTTTTTGTATTTTTAGTAGAGATGGGGTTTCACCATGTTGGTCAGGCTGGTCTCGAACTCCTGACCTCAGATGATCCACCTGCCTCGGCCTCCCAAAGTGCTGGGATTACAGGTGTGAGCCACCGTGCCCGGCCAAGATTAGAGGGTTGGACTCCCAACCCTAACCCCAACCCCATCCTTTGGGAAGGGGAGAGGGGGCTGAAGATTAAGTTGATCACTAGTGGCCAATGGTTTAATCAATGATACCTATGGAATGAAGCCCCCATACAAGCCCAAAAGGACAGGGTTCAAGTGCTTCCGGATAGCGGAACACGTGGAGGTTCCTGGAAGGTGGTGTGCCTGGGAAGGGCGTGGAAGCTCAGTGCAGCTTCTCCCATACCTCGCCCTATGCACCTCTTCATCTGTATCCTTGTAATATCCTTTATAATAAACCAGTAAACGTGTGTTCCTGTGTTCTGCGAGCCACTCTAGCAAATTAATGGAACCCAAGGAGGAAGTCACAGGAACCCTGATTTATAGCAGGTCAGTCAGGAGCACATGTAAAGCAGCCTGGGGCTTGGGATTGCTACTGGAAGTGGGAGGCTGTCCTGGGAACTAAGACCTCAACCTATGGGATCAGATGCTATGTCCAGGTGGAGATCATCAGAATTGAATTGGATTAGAGGACGCTGGCTGATGTCTGCCGCAGAATTGACAGCTTGCTTGGTGTATGCACGCATTTGGTCACAGAAGTCTTCTGTACCAATTATTGCAGGGTGAAAGCAGAGGAAAGACAGTTTACGTCTTTTCCTGTACTTTCATTAAAAAGTTAATCACTTGGCCAGGCGTAGCGGCTCACACCTGTAATCCCAGCACTTTCGGAGGCCCAGACAGGCAGATCACCTGAGCTCAGGAGTTTGAGACCAGCCTTGCCAACATGGCAAAACCTTGTCTCTACTAAAAATACAAAACTTAGCCAGGTGTGGCGGTGCACACCTATGATCCCAGCTACTCGCAAGGCTCAGGGAGGAGAATCGCTTGAACCTGGGAGGCAGAGGTTATAGTGAGATCGTGTCACTGCAATCCAACCTGGGCAACAGTGCAAGACTATGTCTCAAGAAAGAAAAAAAAAAGTTAAACAATCATTCTATCCTCCTATCTTGGCAAAAACCTTACTTGCCACCTAGAGGGCTAGGTTACCTGATAAAGTTCACGCTAGACAATGGTGACATGGGAGATCTAGCCCCAGGCCTGCAGCCTGCCCATCCCTTCTGCATCCCATGCTGGAGGCCCCAGCCACACCCTCAAGCTCCAGCCACAGCCCTTGCAAATGAATTTCCCTTGACCAGCCCTTGGCCACAGGCAGTGTGGCCTGCCCTGGCAGAATGGGCCCCAGGCAGAGGCCTGCAGAGCCCGGAAGCAGGCTCACGGCTGTCTGGGCCAGATACTCCAGGAGCCTAAATTCTCATGGCGCAGCTGAAGAGGGTGGGCACAGGCTGTAGGCGGGCATTTCTCCCTGAGGACCCAGCATGCCTTCTCCTTTCAGGTAAAGCGTGTTTTCCCTTATGTCCTGGCTGTGAGGAAACTCAGGGCAAGCTCCATCCTTGCACCTGCATTGACCTTGACTTGCATATTTGTCTTCTCCTTGACCTTGATCCTGCTCTTCTGTTTTTGTTATTTATTTTTATTTTTTGAGACAGAGTCTCACTCTGTTGCCCAGGCTGGAGTGCAGTGGTGTGATCTTGGCTCACTGCAACCACCACCTCCTGGGTTCAAGCGATTCTCCTGCCTCAGCCTCCCCAGCAGCTGGGACTACAGGTGCGTGCCACCACACCCGGCTAATTTTTGTATTTTTAGTAGAGACGGGGTTTCAGCATGTTGGCCAGGCTGGTTCGAACTCCTGACCTCAAGTGATCTGCCTGCCTCGGCCTCCCAAAGTGCTGGGACTACAGGCGCAAGCCACCACAACTAGCCTGTTTTTATTTTGTTATTTAATCTGATGTGTTTTCCGTCATAAGCCTCTTGAGGGCAGGCATGCTGGATTCCAGACTCCCTGCCCTATGGGGAAGGGAAGTGCTGTAAGACACCAGACGGAAGCCTCTAAATCAGAGAGCTGATGGCAGGCCCCCTCTTTCCCTGATTTAAAGGCAATTCTGTGGCTATAGGACTTGCAGGAAGTTGTAGAAAAGCTGGTAAGAGATCAGAAGAGGAAGAACAAGTAGTTAAAGGTGAGTAGAGGATGGGTCACCTGGGAGGAATTGTTCTAGAGAAGGAATGAGAGATGAGGCCAGCCGGACTTCCTGGGTCAACTGGGGACTTGGAGAACTTTTCTGTCTTACAAGAGGTTTGTAAAATGCACCAATCAGTGCTCTGTAAGAATGCACCAATCAGTGCTCTGTAGCTAGCTAGAGGTTTGTAAAATGGACCAATCAGCACTCTGTAAAATGGACCAATCAGCAGGACATGGGCTGGGACAAATGAGGGAATAAAAGCTGCCTCCCCGCCCACCCCCCCCACCCCCAAGCCAGCAGCACCAACCCCCTTGGGTCGCCTTCCATGCTGTGGAAACTTTGTTCTTTTGCTCTTCAGGATAACTCTTGCTGTTGCTCACTCTTGGGGTCCTTAAGACCTGTAACACTCACCGCAAAGGTACGTGGCTTCATTCTTGAAGTCAGTGAGACCACGAACCCACTGGAAGGAACCAACTCCAGACACAGGAAGATTCAGGGATGAGACGAACCCTGGTCCTCAAGTGCAAACTGGAACCCTACCCCTGGAATCCCAGCACTTTGAGAGGCTGAGGCAGGAGGATTGTTTGAGTCCAGTTCAAGCAAGAGTAATGTAGGGAGATGCTATCTCTACAAAAAAAAAGAAAAAAGGCTGGGCACAGTGGCTCACGCCTGTAATCCCAGCATTTTGGGAGGTTGAGGTGGGCGGGTCACCTGAGGTCAGGAGTTTGAGACCAGCCTGGCCAACATGGTGAAATCCCATCTCTACTAAAAATACAAAAATTAGCCAGGTGTGGTGGCGGGCGCCTATAATCCCAGCTACGTGAGAGGCTGAGGCAGGAGAATCGCTTGAACCGGGGAGGTGGAGGTTGCAGTGAGCCAAGATCTTGCAATTGCACTGCAGCCTGGGTGACAAGAGTGAAAACTCTGTCTCAAAAATAAATAAAAATAAAAATTAAAAAAATTAGCCACATATGGTGCTTGCCTGTAGTCTTAGTGATTTGGCAATCTAAGGCAGGAGGATAGCTTCACCCCAGGAGATTGAGGCTACAGTGGGCTGTGATTGTACCACTGCACTCCAGCCTGGGCAACAGAGCAAGATCCTGTCTCAAACCAAACCAAACTGAAACTTGACAGTGATATTCACATCCCCAGGAAGAAAACCTGGGCCTGGATTAAGGAAAGACTGAAGTCAGATCTAAGGAGGAACTTCCTGGCTGTGGTGTGGTGTGGTGTCACTGAAGGGCCTGGCTTCAGGCAGTTTGTCTCTTGTTTAGAGCTCTGGGGTTTACCAACCATGGAGCCTTCGGCAATGGAATGGTGCCTCAGGGCCTCAGTTTCTCATCTGTAGAATGGGGATAACAAGAGTCTCTGCCTCCTGGGGTTGTCGGGAGGATGAGCTAATGTGTGTGCTTTGTTTCCTCAATGTATGTGATACCCGGGACATCATAAGCGAGGAATTACTAGCTGCCACTGGAGCCGCCCACTTGCTTCCGAGCTCCTTACAGCTCCTGGTTGGGTCCTGTGATCCTCGGTTTTCTTTTTTTCTTTTTTCTTTTTCTTTTCCTTTTTTTTTTTTTTTTTTTTGAGACAGAGTTTCGCTTTTATTGCCCAGGCTGGAGTGCAATGGCCAGGTCTCAGCTCACCGCAACTTCAGCCCTCGGTTGAAGCGATTCTCCTTTCTCAGCCTCCCCAGTAGCTGGGATTACAGGCACGTGCCACCACGCCCGGCTAATTTTGTATTTTTAGTAGAGTTGGGGTTTATCCATGTTGGTCAGGCTGGCCTCAAACTCCCAACCTCAGGTGATCTGCCTGCCTTTGTCCCCCAAAGTGCCGGGGTTACAGGCGTGAGCCACCGCGCCCAGCTGAGCCTCAGTTTTCTCACAGGTAACATGGGGATGAAGAGGCTGCTTTCTCGAGGCTGCTTTAGCTTCCAGGACAGTGCAGAGGTCACAGACTCCATCCTTACTGGTAGCAGAGAAAGGCTCCAGAATCCCCTATGGAAGCTTCAGTTAAGATGGAGAACCACCCAGCCTGAGGCTAGACATTCTCTCCTCCGAAGTCAGGGACTGGGTGGGGTGACCTGCACATGTGTTGCCCAAGGGCAGAAGCGGAGGGGAGGGGAGAGCCGGTTAGAGTTGTGAGGACACCTTGCTGGGTGAATGGGGAGATCCCTGGCCGCCGCTCCCCTCTGCTCCTCCTTGGGGCTCCATCTGCAGAGTGGGGCTTGGCCCTCACGATGGCTGCTGGGGACGGGAGCAGCTCTGTTGGAGAGAGGGTGGGTGCTACCTGGGCACTCCGTCACCTGTGGAATGGTGGCAATAGCACCGTCGGCTTCCAAGGCAAGGGAGGGTGGGAGGAACCAGTTGTGAAGGGAGCCAGGGGTAGGGGTGGACATAGTCATTGGCCAGGAACGAGAGACAGTCCCTAGAGGAAGATTAGGAACCAACCTCAGCTTTAGAGTGGAGAAGATCATGGAGGAAAAAAAAGAGGCGACTTCTCTGAAGACAAGACCTTTGTAGACTTGGGGAAAAGCTGACAGTAAAGAAACAGAAAGAAGGCCGGGCCTGGTGGCTTACGCCTGTCATCTCAGCACTTTGGGAGGCCGAGGCAGGTGGATCACTTGATGTCAGGAGTTTGATACCAGCCTGACCAACATGGTGAAATCCTATCTCTACTGAAAATACAAAATTAGCTGGGTGTGGTGGCGCATGCCTATAATCCCAGGTACTTGGGAGGCTGAGGCAGGAGAATTGCTTGAACCCGGGAGGCGGAGGTTGCAGTGAGCCGAGATCATGCTACTGCACTCCAGCCTGGGCAACAAGAGCAAAACTCCATCTCTAAGTAAATAAATAAACAGAAAAAAAAGAAACAGAAGCAGACTGGAATTCTCATAACTCAAAACTATCCAGTCAGGACCAACTCCCTCCCAGAGCAATGTTTATTTTGCTTTTTAATTCGCATGTGCCTTGCTTCTTTCCAGAAAGGATTTGAAGAGGTTGACAGCAAATGTGTATCCCAAAGACAAGTCTTTATTGAGGATCCATTATGCCCAGGCCAGGTACAAAGACTCCAACATGTCTGCCCTCAAGAGGCTGATGACGGAAAACACATCAGATTCAATAACAAAATAAAAACGGAAGAGCAGGATCAGGGAAGGTCCACACGGGTGCAAGGATGTGGCTTCAGGTGGACCTCTGAGTTTTCTCATAGCCAGGACATAAAGGGAAGCATGCTTTATCAGAAAGGAGAAAGCATGCTGGCTCCTCGGGGAGAAATAAAGCTGAAGGTCGAATTGTAAAAGTGAAATGAACAATTGGCTGTTTCAGAGATACCAACACAAGAATTGGACTAGGGCAAGAAAGAAGATTCTGCCCAGCTGCTTTCTAGCACGTATATGATGGAGACCAGATGCAAAGCAGCAAAAAGGACTAAGTAGAAGGAAAGAGCTTAGTGCTGGAAGGAATCTGAGAGGTCATTTACGCTACCCTTTCTGTTTCACAGATGAGGAAACTGAGGCCCGGGAGGCAGTGATTTGATCAAGGTCGCCCCTTACCCATCCCAGGGGCAACAAAATCCTCACATGGCCACTGCTGTCAGCAACTGTGCAATCCCAGCTTGAGGACAGCCTGATGGCTTGTGGAAAGGTGGCCAGTGAAGAGGACACATCCCCAAATAAGAGACTTCCCAGACGTTCACAAATAGTATCTATAAGCCCAAAGCATCAGCCTTTGAGTGGAAGGTCAAGTGTAAACTTGTCTCAAAACCATCCTTTGGGGAACAAAGTAGAATATGAACAAGCAAATTTTTACCCCAATAACAAGTCCACAACTGAGCCTGAATGGTGGTAGAAGGAAAAAGGCTTTAGGTCCAACAGGGTGTGGGCTCAGGGCTTCCCATGCCATGCCCAGGCTGCACTGTGGGACTCCCTATCTATAAACTGGCAAGAATTAGATTCAGATAAATCATGATGTCTGCATGGGGATCAGCACATAGCACATGGTCAACAAACGTATTAACCTGTTCCTAGATAGAGAAACAACTTCTGCCAATTGCAATCTTAAAATTAATGACTTAGACACTTAAGCATCGTGTGAACTGGTGAACATGGAGGGGGAAATAGTACACAAATAGGAAACGTTTACAAGTGGAACTGGGATTAAAAAAAAAGAAAAAGAAACCCAGGGGAATTGACACTGTGGAGAAAAGGCTCATCTCCACTCCTGGGACAGCAGCCTGCTCAGGTCGAGGGGCCCATCCACCTTGAGAGACCCTCTAAGGACCCTCCATAGTTCAGGGCTGTTAGCTACATGACCTGAGCCAAGTGGGGTCCGAGCTGAGCAGCGCAGAGCAGACTGACCCCAGGTCAACAGGCCCCAGGTTGGGCTGCCTTTTAAAGTCAGAGAGAGGAGGTGGAAGTATTTCAATGAACAAGCAAAGAGGTGAGTATTCCAGTTGAAGTGGGTTATTGGGGGGATCGAGGGGGTTTGTGAAAGTTACAACTGCGCAGGTGGACAGAAGTGAAATCATAGGGAGCCTCAGTACCAGATAGGAAGAGGGGAGCCATGGGAGGTGTCAGAGCAGGGGAGTGGCACCCTCAGCAATCCACCTTGTGAAGATGATTGGTGGGAGCTGGAGAGGAGGCGGGATCCTGCTCACTCACAGCACAAGCCCTATTTGCATTCCTAATGGGCCCTGCGAGATTGGTTTTCCTTGCCGGCCCAGCTGGCTCTGGCAGATAAGTGGGACTCTGTGCCCAGGGGCAGGTTTCCCAGAAAGGTCTTCCAGACAGACCTGGGTGCTTGGTCCTGTTGCTCCCATCCCCCTCCCCAACACACACGTACACACACTCAGTCCTCGCAGTTTTTCCAGCCGAGCTGGAGGGAATGGCTTGTGCCTGTCTCCTAGTTTGCTAGGCCTTACCCAGGCCATTAGGATTCCCTGATGACTACAGGCCTCAGCAGAGCCCCTTCCAGCTGGCAGCCCTTTGCCCTCGCCCCCCTCACCTCCACCTACATCTTCCCATGTGTCCCTGGTTGGAAATCTCACTCTGGGTCTGGCCAGTGGTTTTTGCATTAGGCCAGGAGGATAACCAAGCCCCATGCCCTGAGCTGTGAACCTGGGTATGCCCCGTGACCAGTTGGCTTCAGACCTGAGGCCTCTGTGCCCTCTCCCAGGGGCTCTCCAGTGAGCATCAGGACCCCTACAGGAAGGAGCTGAGGACTCCCCTGTCCAGCCCCACTTCTTCCTCTGCTGGAAATATCAACTCCTCAAGCTCAGAGGCTCAGGGGGGCTCTTAGGTCCATTCTTAGCACTGTCTGAGCAGGGACTAGCTCTTATTCCTCTCCTCTTTTCTTTCTTTCTTTTTTTTTTTTTTTTTTTTGAGACAGAGTGTTGGTCTTGTTGCCCAGGCTGGAAGGCAGTGGTGCAATCTCGGCTCACTGCAACCTCCGCCTCCCAGGTTCAAGCGATTCTCCTGCCTCAGCCTTCCGAGTAGCTGGGATTACAGGCTCCCACCACCACGCCCAGCTAATTTTTTGTATTTTTAGTAGAGACAGGGTTTCACCATGTTGGCCAAGCAGGCCTCAAACTCCTGACCTCAGGTGATCCACCCGCCTCGGCCTCCCAAAGTGCTGGGATTACAGGCGTAAGCCCCATGCCCAGCCTTCTTATTCCTCTTTTCTAGGACTCACAGTGATAGTTAACTTCTCTGGAAAGAACCTGACACTTCCCAAGTGTCCTCAGGAAGGAGTCCTCAGCTCCTTCCTGTAGGGGTCCTGATGCTCAATGGAGAGCCCCTGGCAGAGGGCACAGAGGCCTCAGGTCTGAGGCCAACTGGTCACGGGGCATGCCCACAAAGATTATTCCACCTGAAGCTCTTCACGGCCCTGCAAGCAGGCAGGGCAGGTGGTCGTGTTATTATCATCATCCAATTTGCAGATGAGAAAACTGAGGGAGGGAGGAGACTCATCCACTGTCTCACAGCTCTTTGTGTGTAGAGTTTAGAGCTCTGCACCCCCCACCCTTCCCTGAGACCAGCTTTCAGTGACCACCCCCTCCACCAGGCACAGATGGTCCAAATAGCTGGGTGACCTGAACGCGGAATACAGCCTCCATGACTGCAATCTCGGAGCTGGAAGTCTTTGGCCAGCAGCTTATCCAACTCTCCTAGTTACTGAGACTCAGAACAGTTCAGGAAGTTGCCTAATATCAAGATGGTGGCAGAGCCAGGTCTCAGGTGCCCTAACTCCCTGCCCGGAAGCCGCCCACCTCCTCACACTGGCCCCTCTCGCCCCAGAGCCCGCTCTGGCATCTCCTTCATTCCCTAGATGTATGGGTGTGCCTGACATTTCTGGAATTCACTCCACACACATAATGAGGCCATTTTGAGAAGGCCCGCCTCAGGGGGAACCAGAGAGCTGTCTAGTGTCCCCATCCTGACCCCTGCCAACTCCTCCCGGCTGTACAGGCCAGGCTGCAAAAGGGAAATGCTGATGTCAACTCAGCAGGTATGGAAACAGAATGGGGGCTCCTGTCAATGGCGCGGAAGTGATTGTAGCTGCACCCAGTGGCATTGGGGTGACTCTCTGAGATATTAGTTTGACATGAGGGTATGGGGCCGTGCCTGCTGGCAGAACCGTTGTGCACCTGGGGTAGCCACTGTGCTCACGAGGGACAGGCTGCCTAACGCTGAAGAACCGGGTTTCAGCCTCTGAGCGCAGGACCTTCTCTCCAGCCCCCATGGCCCACTGAGACCTGAGCAACAGAAAAGGAGCAAACCTGCAGGCAGGCCCTCCCAGGCAGCAGCAGGACAGGGTGCCCGAAGGAGAGCGTGGAGTTGCCTCTCAGAAGATTCTAGAAACTCTGGCTGGGTGCGGTGGCTCACGCCTATAATCCCAGCACTTTGGGAGGCCGAGGCGGGTGGATTACCTGAGGTCGGGAGTTCGAGACCAGCCTGGCCAACATGGTGAAACCCCCATCTCTACTAAAAAATTCAAATATTAGCCAGGCATCCTGGTGCGCACCTGTAATCCCAGCTACTCGGGAGGCTGAGGCAGGAGAATTGCTTGAACTCGGGAGGCAGAAGTTGCAGTGAGCCAAGATTGTGCCACTGCACTCCAGCCTGGGCGACAGAGCAAGGCTCTGTTTCAAGAAAAAAAGAAAGAAAGAAAGAAACTCAACTCTGCCCAGGTGCCTTAGCTATTCCGCTGCCCAGAAGCAGGGAGGAGACCCAGTGCTCCTTCCCAGAAGGCCCGTTTTCCAGCCCGTCGCCATCCAGTCTCCCTTGGAGAAGTCCCGGGAGATGGGATCCAGCTTCCTTCCTCTTTTCCCACCTTCTCCACTCCCAGAAGCTATTCCTGCAATCCTGGCCTAGCCTCTCACTGAGAGCAGGGAATTCCCTCTCTGGCAGCGGGATAAAGAAGGACCCTGCTTAGAGCCGGGACAGCCAAAGGGACAGGGAGGGCCTGGATGGGGAGGAGGCAGAAGTCTGGCCCCTGCTGCCTCCCCACACATACCTCCACCCCCCTACCCCCGCCCCAAGAATGTAATTAAGCAGCAGCTTCTGCCAGGAGCCAAGCTTTCTGCCTTCCGACTATAAATCACCTTCTGAATCATCTCTCAGCTCCTAGAGAAGCAACTTCTGCTCAGGCTGCTCTGGGCGGCCCTGGTGCCACTCCCCCTGGGAAGCCTGCCTCCCCCACCCCTTCTGTGCCCAGCCCCCTGGCTCTAGGTCCCAGCAAGAGTCTGGCAGACTCTGGGGGTCGGGGAATGATTAGGGGACACTCCAGCAACCTTCTCTACCCTGCCCTCCCCTTCCTGAGCAGGTAAAGAGCTGAAGTGAGATTAGCCTGGCCCAGCACCCTCAACTTAAGAATAAAGCTAAAGCACTGTGGGGCAAACAGGCAAAAAGAAGAAAAGGGGAAAACAGAGCCAGGTGGGGCAAATCTGGGAGGGCTTCTTGGAAGAGGCAAGTTTGGCTCCAGGGCTTCAGTGAGCCAATAGCTTGCAGATAGGAGGTGAAAATAGCTAACATCGATATGCTTCCTGTATGCAAGGTATCATTCTAAGAAGTATTCACTCAATCATTTTCAAAACCCTATGAAATAGAGGCAATCATTACACTCATTTTACAGATGAGGAAACTGAGGCTTGCAGAGGTTAACTTGCCCTAGTTACCCAGGTAGTACATGAAAAAGCCAGATGTGAATGCAGATGGCCTGGCTCCAGAAGAGTGGGAGTGTTTGGGGCGAGGTTTGGAAGTGCAAGCAGGTTGGCTTGGCAGGAGTGGGGCAGCCAGCTCTTTGCGATTTAGGTCAGATGGAGCCACAGAAAGAAACGGGTGGACTGTCTAATACAGGCCCGGAATGTGTGCAGTAGAGTGTCATGCTTCACAGCAACGAGCCCAGAACCTGTCATAGCCCTGGGACTCTGAGAGGCAAAAGGGACCCCTCCATGTGGTTAAGGAAAATGAAGCCCAGAAGGAGGCAGGGACTTGAATGAAGCCCAGAGAAGGGAAGGGACTCATCCTAGGTCACAGGGTCCATTGGTATTAAACTTGGAATTCAGACATAGGTCTCTCCATCTCCCCACTCTCACCATTTTCCAGCATACAAGATAACATGGATGTACAGATGTAATATCAGGATGGCTCTAACCTTTGGCGGGGGGTGGGGGTGGGGCTAGGCATACCTCCTCCCTGAGTTAGGAATGAGGGGTGGAGGATGTCTTGCCCTCCTTGGCAGCTGGAGAAGGTTTCTGTGGCTCACATCAGGGTAGGTGGAAAAGGTTCTGCTCAACTCCTGGCTCATCACATTCTGAGACCAGAAAAATCTTCCTTTTTCCCACTTCCTTTTCCCTGGAAGGGTTTGTTAGCTGCATCCTCCTCTGTGATAAGTCACCTTTCCTGTGCCATCCCCTGGCTCCTTATCCCCTGGCTCCTTGTCTCCTGCCCAGACCAAGGAGAGACTTCTTCCAATTCTACATCTGCCCAAGTACCATTAATGTTTATTAGCATTAAGTTCTGTAGTGAGGAGGATGAGAGATGCTTGCTAGGCTGAGTGCATTCTTTGGAGATTTCCACCCAGAGCCCTCGCTGTCTGCCTCAGTTTCTCCACCTTTGTCAGTGACTGAGCATGTATCCAGATGCCAGAGTGTGGGCCCTGGTAGGGCCTGGCTGGGTTTGCCACTGGTGAAGCTGCAGCAAGCACCTCCTAAAGGACTTGGCACCAAAGTCCAGCTCCTGCCTCTTTTGACCTCATCGCCAAAGGTCTTCCCACCAGGCCAGGATTAATTGCAGGGCAGACATCACAGACCCAAGCCCTCAGGATCCCTGGGGTGGAGGTGGGGGTGATACTCAGACTCCACCCATCTCTCACCTCTTGGCCCCGGAGCTGTTGACAAAATGCTCTGAGAGTCTAGAACTTTCCCTGAGAGCGTCCCCTTCCCCCATGCCATCCACATACATATTACAGCAGGTTCTTCTAAGGACATAACTCAGCTCAGGCTCTTGGTATTATTATAACGTTTGACCTGTTTTCTTCTTTTTAAGCAAAATGTGATCCTATCGGAAGAATACCAACAGATCGGCCACCAATTTTGCTCCCTCTGGACTCCGAAGCCCCACCCATAATGGGGGCGGGGTGAGCGGGAGGGCTGTTAACTTCCAAGAGACCTGGACTAATTTCCCCGCCATATCCCCCCCAGGGAAAGGTCTGCCCTGGAAGGGAGACCACCCGGTTAAAGCCTGGCCATCCGATCTGGTATCTGCCCATCTGTCTGTCTGTCTGTCTGTCTGTGGGATCAACAGCCTCCAGCTAGCTCAGCTCCTCACCAGCCCCAGCCAGCCCAGCCCCAGCGAGCTGTAATTCCTGCCTGTTACAAGTGTTAACACCTGGCCTGGGGCCTTCCTCCCCCGCAGTCTCCAGGTGCCTCCCTGGGCCCAGCCCACTGACCCCCACGGGGTTTGACTGAACATGTTCACAAGCCTCTGAAAGGTGGGTGGAGGTGGGAGTGGGTGGGAGAGGCAGCAGGACATCTGACAGATGGGGAAACTGAGGTAGGTCTTAGGCAGGTGCTCGAGTGGGAGGATGGGTCCTGGGATGGCGAGAACTCAGGTGTGCTATTTCCCAGCTCACTGCCCTTGTCCTCTGCAAAACATTTTCACCCAAGCTGTGAGGCAGGGCAGGCTGGGGACTCCTGGGTGAAGTGTAAGGAAGCAGACCCAGATGGGTGGCCACTGGTCCTCAGTCACACAGCGGCAGGGTGAGCTCCTGATCTCCAGCAGGCCCCCTCCATCTGCACGTCCATCGCTGGAATGTAGCAGGTGCTGGGCTAGGCCCTAATAACATAGGTTCATCCCCCCACCCCAGCGCCCCCAAGAAGAAGAAGAAAGACAAGTTTCTCCACCAGGAGCTAACTGGGACTGACAAGGGGAATTCGAGAAATCAGTGCTGTTGTTTCCTGTCCCGGCTCTGTCACTACCTGGAGAACATCTCTTCCTTCCAGGGGTGTCAGTCTGAGGCCCCTTAGAGCTGTCCCTTCTGGTCAACCTTCTGTCAGGACTGGGGTCTGAGCAGTGTGGACTCAGGGTGTCATGCTTGAGGGTCCGCGTGGACAGAAATCCCAGCTACATGACTTCCCCTGTAAATCCTTCCTGGGGAATGCATGAGCTGGGTGGGCCAAAGAGGGCAGGCCAAGATGGGCTTAGATGCTCAAAGTACTGGAATCTGACTGCCAGGCGGGGGGCTGGGTTGGGGAGTGGGGGCAGAAATGGGATCAGGAATCAGAGGCCCATCTACCCTACAGCCCCAGCCCTAACCCTGAGAAGGTGACTCACCCTCCACCCCAGCTCCAAGACCAAAGAAAAACAACCTCAGAGAGAAGGGCCAGTGACTCTAGTGCCTGGACAGACAGGACAAGCTGGTGTCAAGGAAGCCTGTGCCCCTGCCTCTCTAGCTTGCCATCCCTGGCCAGCTGTGCCCCCTGCAGCCACCTTGTGAGACTTTTGCTTCCTGTTGGACCTTCCCTCCAGGCCCATGGCTGCCCACCAAACACCCAAGCTCAGGTGTCATTCATACCCACAGGTAGATGTCTGCAAAGATATTCACAGCCACACAGCCCTGGGCCCAGCACCTGGGGACAGGATCACAGGCGGACTCAGACACAGCCCTCACACAGCTATGGACTTGAGGCTCACTCTCCTCCTTACAAGCACAATCAGGTCATGGCCATGAGCACTGATATTCATGCACAAAGACATCTGTGGGGCTTTCCCCACACTGTCATGAAGGCATGCGCGCGCACGTACACACACACACACACACTCACACACACGCACGCACGCACACACACACTCACATGCCCAGTCATGAACACAGTCAAGCCCAGCGTCACAGGCAGACACAGGCTCTGACCTTTACATGGGCAAAGATACTTCTAGACTTCTCTCTGTCTCTTACACATGTACATACACACATCACAGCACCAGCCACTTGCTCACACTCGTGTGCAGACACACACAGCACAACCTGTCGTGGGCATGGATCCCCCAACACGCCCACACGATTTCACATCCATAGTAGCCCAGTTGCAGGCACAAACACTTTTGCACACAGAGACACACTGGTGTATAGAAAACACCTCTTAGGGTCATAGACCCAGAACACACGCACACACACACACACACACACACACACACACACACACACACCTCTCTCCTTGGCTTAGACAAAGCAGCATTCCTGTCCCCCACCAAATTCCCAAACAAGCCATGTGTCTAGCATTATGTTAGGGCCAATGTCTTGACCTTCCAGGTTTCCCCAGCGTTTCTTCCTATTGGGCAATCCCTATCTAGATGGTCCCCAAGATACCATTTCACACCAGAATCTACACCAACTGGAAGAGTGCCCTCTTCTAGTTCATAGGGCCGGAGAGACTGGTCTCTCTTCCTCAGTCCCTGCCACCTATGGGCCGCCAAACCTTTCCTTCCTACCCTCCCCCAACCCACCAGAGTCTCTGCGAAAGCAAGGCGAAAAACGGCATGGCCTTGGCCCGGGAATGGGAAGAGGGTCAGGAATGGCCGGGTGAGGCTGGACTGGTGTTGGCAGCAGCCTTTCCCCAGACTGGCCGAACCTCCTTCCTGAAGTCCCTGGCTGCCCTGGCCACCCCATGGACTTCTTTATGTGCTGGAAGCCTCAGGTTAGCCCAGCCCCCCGGAAAAGTGTGGGTTGGGCAGAAGAAAGACTTCCCCTTGGCTGGCTGTCCTGGGAGCAACTCCTAGCACCCTCTAAACAGAGACCCTTGGCCATGTCCCCACCCTCTCTCCCAGGAGCCCCAAACACCCAGACACAAATGCTGCCATCCCCAAACAACTGGAAGACTCGGGGTGTGGCCCCCAAGTCTCGCTGTCTCTGCTCCTCCTACCCTGGACTCTGGGTTGGCGAAAGGCAGGGAGTCTGGGGACCTGCAGGCGGTACCGCACCGTGGTGGCACTTCTTTCTGACTTTCACCCCGGGGGCCACAGCCCACTTCTCACTCACAGATCCCAAATTCTTCCTCCTCACCTCCCCCCGCCCAGGCCAAGGCTCTCCTATGTCCAGGAGGGGAAGATTCTTTAATTAAAGTTTTCCGGAATGTAGGGGGCTGGAGACTGGGGAGAGGCGGAGTGTAATTTAGAGAACTGGTTTCAGTGTCTTCCCCTCTGGCCCCTGGGACCTGCGGAGGGTGGGAGAGCGGCGATGGGGCCGCTCGGAAAACAAGGGGACTCCTGGAGCTGGGGCTCCCAAAGCGATGTTTATTCCTCACCCAGGCCCCCCAGACACGCACAGCCCCCCCCAAGCACTGCTCCCGGCTTCCCAGTCTTATTTACTAAAATGTCTTTTGTATCCACATTTCTCAGGGACGGAATTCTCCCTTCCCTCTCCCTTTCTCCTCGGTCCTCGGTTTTCCAAAAGGAAGAAATGTGACATGGAGAATTGGATTTTTGGTCAAAGAACAACAAGCCTACCCCTCCCAGACAACACATTTTCAAGGAACCCCCCTTTTGCCAGGGTGGACAAGCAAGAAATGAATAAAATCCGAATTCAATGGCATCCCGGATCAGCAAATACCATATTCACTTCAGAGGCTCAAGATGAATCTAGAGCGGTGGGGAGAATCTGATGAAATCCCCCCACCCACTCCCCTGCCCCGGGAGGAGCCCTGAAGCCTTTGGGGTCTGAAATAGGAAGGCAAAGGGGGGTTATTATGGGGAATCTCTTGATGGAGGCGCCGGCAGAGGTGGGGTGGCAGTGAAGGAACAGGATGGTTTTGCCCATGAAGACCCCAAAATGGAGAAGAGGAGTGGCTGGGCCCCAGGGACAGTGCTGGATTTCCAGAAACCCAACTGCAAGCAAATGGGGGGTCTTCGGGGGCCTCTAGATTGGGACGGGCAGAGGGTTAGGATCTAAGAATAAGAAACCTTCTGAGATGGGAAAAGTCCTCCAGCCCCTGCAGCGGGGAGCAGGGAAAATGGTGATTATCAGAGGAGCCAGGAGTTGGATTCTGAAGGCGACACCAGCAGAAAATCCAGGAGGGGTGGGCGGGTGGGGGGCTGGAGGGAGGCGAGGAGAGGAGCCCCAGCCCTGCAGCGGCCCACCCCCAGCCGGCGCCCCCACCTTCCCCGGACGCGGCGGAGAAACCGGGCCGCGGGCAGACAAGAGGCGAGTCTTACCACCAAATTGGGTAGCCAGCGAGGACCCTGGTGCCACCGAGCAGGAGGCCGAGGAGCAGCCCGAGCAGGTGGGGCTCCATTAGAAGAGGCGCCGAGGAGGAAGTTTGCCCGCGACCATGAAGAGGGGGAGCGACGCCCCCAATAGTTGGAACAAAGTCCACTTGAGATTGGAAATGACTTTCGGGCTTGTCAGAAGCGCACCTCCACCCGCAGCCGCCCCCCTCCCGAGCCCAGCGCGGAGCAGCCGGGTTTGAGGATGTCAGCGAGCAGCCAATCAGCGCCCGCGGCCTAAGGTAAGAGATGAGTCTGTAGTTCAGCCTGTCAATCACGCGCCCCTCCCGCCCGGCCCACAACTCGGGCTCCGGGAAGGGCATCGCCCAGCAAACTTGGGCAAAGCCCGCGCCCCGGACGCCGCGGGGCTTCGGGGGGACGCGGTGGGCCGGACCCTCTGCTACCGCCGCGGTCCCCCGCTGGCCAGGGTTAGGGCGCGGGGGCTTTGACCCGGGCGTTCACATGGCGAGGGCTTGGCGTGGGCATGAACGGGTGGCTCCTTTGCTGGCGGGGACCGTGACCCGTTGGGACGTGGGCCCGCGAGGAATCGAGGGTAGAAAGCACAGGGATGTTTCCAGAAGCCCCGCTCGGGCAGGTCAGGATCAGAGGGTGGGGGAACGCACCCCCTCCCAGCTTCCAGCCTCCCGAGTCCGCCCGCTCTCTGGCCTCTCGTCCTGGCCGCGGGAGGTCACTTCCCGGGTGTCCGAGGAACGTGCGGAAAAGTCCGCGGAGGCTCGAAGGTCTGGCTGCGGGCGGCGCCGGGGGACGGAGCCGAGTGTCATTTGAGTCTTTTGTCAGGGATCAGATCGGTATCGGGACCTCCTGCTGCCTTTGCATTTCCTGCAACTGACACCAGCGGCCAGTCGCATTTCCTGCTCTCGGAGTCGGGTCACTTTCTCCTCCTTGAGGGGTTCAGGCCCGACCTCTGGCCCGGGTCGGAGGCGTGACCCACAGCCTCAGTGGGATTCTCGGTTGGACCATCAGGGACCGGTGAAACGCGCAGCTCTGGCCGAGGGCGGCCCAGGTCCTTGGAAGACCTTGCTGCCCTCCGGAGCGCCCCTCACTGCCCGACCGTCCCGCCTGAGGCCCCGGTTCTACTGATAGGGAGCTCCAGCCTGGGGTTTGGCGATAAAGGCCCTTGCCCTGTGCGGACACCAAATGCCTCCAGTTACCCACCCCTCCCCACAGGAAAGGAGTCCTTCCAGGCCCCCTTCGGGCTTGCTTCCTCTCCTCTCCCTCTCCAGAGCGAGGAATTAGGTCTCAGCCCTGGGTGGTATTGACATCATGGTCAGGTTTTGGGGACTCACGCCCGGTCACCTGGGTGCCTTTCCCTAGGCCCCCTCCCAGGCCACCTGAGGCACCAGGACTCTGCGCAGCCCCGGTCTGGGGTGAAGGAAGCACTGCCGGTGGGGAGCAGGGACCGCTGTGTAGGGAACTGTGGCAGAAAGGGCAGAGAATGAGCCGACCCGAGTCCCACAGAGGCCTGGAACGGCGGGCGTTCCACGAGGTGAGGGCCATGGCTGAAGGAAGTCTTACGCCAGGGGGCCAGACATTCCTGGCCTTTGATCTGAGCCCCCCGTACCCACAGCTCCAACCTGCTGCCCCTTCTGGTCGGCGAGCCCTCTCCGCACGCGGCTGCTGCCGGCACAGGGAGCGCGGGGAAATGGCCTCGGGGGCACCAAGGGTCGGGAGAGCCGCCTGGGCTTGTCATGGCTCCTGCTGCGTTCCCAGCCCATTGCTGGACTGGAGGGGGTGGGAGGGGAGGTTGAAAGAGAGGAAGGAAGGGGAGGAAAAGGAGAATCCGAGAGGAGGAGAGAGAGAGAGGGGCTCAGAGATGAGAGAGACGCTGAGACAGAAACCAAGAAAACTGTCGGGGGGAGGCTGAGCCACCGGTGTGAGGAAGAAAGGGGCAGGGGGGAGGCGGAGAGCACCAAGGAGCTGCAAGGCGAAGAAAAATCGTGAACCTGACCAGGAGTGGTGAACCTGGTGGGGGCTGCAGAGATGGGGATCCCTAGAGATGCTCCTCATGGCTGGGCTGATTCTGGGGTGCCCTGTTTCTGATTCACCTGGAAAGAGGGTTACCATTGCCATGAATGCAGAGCCTCAGGACCAAGGCTCTGGCAGTGGAGAGCTTTCCACATACCTCCCTCTTGGATGGAGGCCTGCTAGGTCCTACCTGGAGTCCTGTCCCACCCACAGGGCTCCCAGGTGGCTTTCTGATCAGAGCTGCCTGCTGGAGTCCTGCCCAAGGGCTCGGGAGTTCCAGAGCCCCATGACAGTGGTGCTGAGAGCTGGGGAGGGCTACCTTCCCTGGCCACTCAGACACCACTGTGGATGCAGTATGGTGGGGCGACAGGGCCTGGACTTGATGGCTTCTTGGGGTCATTACTGGGCCTCAAGACTCCACAGGTGCCAACCCTGTGAGGTGGGAGCAAAAGATCCGAGGCTGTCGGTGGGAGTGTGTGTTGGCTGAGATATGCCCAGCCAGCATCCTGGGTGCTGTGGGCAAGAACATCATTCCCTGAGGGGTCATGTGTACCTGAATGCCTCCTCCAGGCAGCCTGGAGAACTCAGACGCAGGTCATGTGCATCAGGCAGGAAACAAGTGGGTTGAAGGGTGGAATCTAGGAGCTGGCCATGTGCGCCTGGGAAGTGACAGAGGAGAGGACTGGAACCTACCAGCGGCCCTGCCAGGCCCCTAGTGAATGGAGGTGTGTGTGGGGATTTCCGCCACTTGAAAGCTCCTCAGACAAGGGGAGCCTGAGTCCCTTCCTTTCCCCCAGGTGTCCTTCCTTCAACACAGGTTTAATTTCCTTCCTCCTGCACCCCTTGCGCTGCCGCGGGTGGAAACGCAGGAATGGTTTCTCTCAGGGGAGGGCGGGCGCCCCTGACCACACATCACAGATAGAAACACCCTCTCTCTAACAGGTACCCCAAGCCCCAGGGTGGTTTCACTTGGTGGAGAAAGGGTTAAATTCACTCCAAGACCAGGAAGGGAGGGCGGGGTGGAGGCATCAGCCGGTGGACCAGGAGGCCATCGCCCTGAAAGGAAGGGTGGTCTCTTGGAAGAGGGCAGAAGAGGCAGCAAGGGCCAGGGACCTGGGGACATGGGGTGGCACGTGGGAAGCACTTTTTGTTGTGTGTGTGAATGTGTGGGACCTTAGACCTGGGAAGGGGACCCCAGTCCCAACCCAACCCCTCTCTCTAGCTGGCTCGGAGGTTCCTTTTGATGTGCACTCCCCCGGGGCTCAGAGTCTGCCGCTGTGTATTCAGTGAGGCTCCACTGGACCCCCTGCGGAGGCACCGTGTAGACAAAGAATCCGGTGGCCAGGCCCCCGCCCGCCCTCATGGGGCTACCCGTCTGTCGCGGGGAAGGAGGAGGAAATCTCCGATCCAGGCACTGTGCCATTCATTTTTGCTTGAAACAGGTCTTGGGGCTGCCAGGCGGGAGTCGGGAGCCGGACCAACCTGGGGGGGTAAAGGGAGAGGCGAAGCCGTTGCAGCGGGGAAGCAGGTGGGGAAGTGCGAAGGGCCGAAGGCCTAACACCACAGGGCTTATGGAGGAACAGTGCAAAGGGAGCACATAGGGGGCTCCAAGGCCTCTGACCTGGAGAGGAGGGCGTTTAACTTTCTCCTAGGAGCTGTAGGAACCGCAGAGCGGTTTTAGGCGAGCTCCCTAGAGGCCACTGGAAGGCTGGACAGCAGAGCCTGGAAGCAGGAAGGCCCTAGCGTGGGTGGTGGGCGCAGGAGTAAATCGGATTTCTTTCCACTGCCCAGCCTAGTTTGCTGGCATAGAGGCTGCATCCTGGAAATGCAGGAAGCCCCTGACCTGCACCGAGTAAGCGCATAGTAGGTAAGCACCAGATGTTAATCTAACACACAAAGGAGCGCAGGTGCACGCGGAGGTCGGCTCAGAGCCCAGCGGCGCGGGCGCGCCCCCTGGCGGCAGTGCTGATAGCAAGGCGGGAGGTCAGCAGGCGAGGAAGGGGTCGCGCCTGGTCCCACTCCGCTCCCTGCGGGCCCGGCATCCTCAATTGTTGCTGGTGAGCAGCCCGGATTTCGGAGGATCTTGGTTAAGCAGGTGCCCTCCTGAGTGAATGCCCTTAATCTACCTCGCAATCCCGGAGCTTAGCTGGGGATAAGGGGTGCATGGCTTCAGGCTCCCCTCTCCTCTCCAGACAGGCGGAGGGCGAGCGGGCCCAGGTGATGCCGGTCCAGGGCGCACTGGGGCACCGCCAGATCCACCCTGCGGATGCCTCCCTCTTCCGCTGACATATGGGAGGCTGCCAGCGGCAGGCGGATGTCACCAGTTCTTCCTGGATCCCGAGATCACAGGGGCCGCTGTGGGCACCTGAGAGGTTCTCCCTGTGGCAGTAGTTCCTCCTGTCTTAGCTCTAGCTCCCCAGGGCATTCAGTTTTATGTATTTATATATATATGTATTTATAATAAATATGTATTTATAATAAATATGTATTTATAATAAATATGTATTTATAATAAATATGTATTTATAATAAATATGTATTATATAATAAACACATATATTATATATTATATATTATATATATTATATTATATATATTTATATATTATATATTATATATTTATATATAATATATTATATATATTTATATATAATATATTATATATTATATATATAGAAAGGTGGAATTTCATTCTTGTTGCCCAGGCTGTAGTGCAATGGCGCGGTCTCGACTCACTGCAACCTCTGCCTCCCAGGTTCAAGCGATTCTCCTGCCTCAGCCTCCCAAGCAGCTGGGATTACATGTGCCCGCCACCACGCCTGACTAATTTTTTGTATTTTTAGTAGAGACAGGGTTTCACCGTGTTGGCCAGGCTGGTCTCGAACTCCTGACCTATATTTTTAAGACAGAGTCTCACTGTGTCGCCCAGGCTGGAGTACAGTGGTGCAGTCTCGGCTCACTGCAACCTCCACCTCCCCATATTCAAGTGGTTCTCCTGCCTCCGCCGCTCAAGTAGCTGGGATTACAAGCATGCACCACCATACCCAGCTAATTTGTGTTTTTTTGGTAGAGACAGGGTTTCGCCATGTTAGCCAAGCTGGTCTTGAACTCCTGACCTCAAATGACCCACCCATCTTGGTCTCCCAAAGTGCTGGGATTACAGGTGCAAGCCACCATGCCTGGCCTCCCCAGAGCATTTTGGAAAGCGATTTGCGGTGAAAGTCCTTTAGAAGGGAGGGAATGGGGTGGGGTGGGGGCACTGGCCGGTTGCCTGTCATCTCTGAGTCCCTGGCTTCGGTTGTGGAGTGGAGATAACACTTTCCACCTTGTAGGGAGCTGTCAGCGTTAAATGAGAATGGTGCTGACGGAATGCCAGACTGCGGATGGTGAATACAAAATATTGGGTTTCCTTCTTCTCTTGAGGCAAGGAGTAAGCCTCTCTCTCAGGTCTCTCTTCCTGCCCCAGTCAGTGTCTGCTAAGCAGTCCCCCTTCAGGCGCCCAGGAGCCTTCTCCAGAAGGATTTATCCGGGATAATGTTGTCTGATGTCCCCTTCCAAGACCCACTTCAAAATATCCACTTCAGAGAGGCCCCTCCAGACCCCTTGCCACTCCCTAGCCCTGTCCTGTCAGGCCTCTTATTCAGCTTTATTTTCCAGCATAGCCCTGACACTGATGTGATTAATATGTGATTACACATATTATTATTTTTTTGAGACGGTGTCTTGCTCTGTCGCTCAGGCTGGCATGCAGTGGTGTGATCTTGGCTCACTGCAGCATCCACCTCCTGGGTTCAAGTGATTCTCTTGTCTCAGCCTCCCAAGTAGCTGAGATTACAGGCGCTCGCCACCATGCCTGGCTAATTTTTGTATTTTTGGTAGAGACAGTGTTTCACCATGTTGGCCAGGCTGGTCTTGAACTCCTGACCTCAGGTGGTACGCCCGCCTTGGCCTCCCAAAGTGCTGGGATTACAGGCGTAAGCCCCCATGCCCGGCTGATTATACATACTACATAGCAGACATATCTGCTCAGTTTCTTGCATATGTTGTCCGTCTCCAACTGTGAAATCTCCACAAAGAAACTCCCTCCACAAGACTGCTGAACCCCCAGTGGTGAGGGATCCAGCACTTAGCAGCCCCTCGAAAACACTGTTGATGATGGGCCCAGAGGAGAGGGAGCAGGCAGGGCCGAGGTCTCAGATAGAAGGGCCACTGACTCAGGTCTGGGCTCCCTGTGGCCCCTCAGGGTCCTCAGTGCCCCTATCTTGAGTGGCCCTGGCCCCTACAACTCCAACCCACCCCAGCTACCCTGCTCTGTCGCTTGGTTCCTGTGTCCCTTTCATAGGACCCTGTGCTGCCTCCAGTGGGATGAGATTAAGGGTGGGCAGCCTGTTGGGAAGTCACTGCCACATGGGGGCATCTGGGGCTTGGTGGCCCCTCGTGCTGCCTCTCCAGCCATGTGCCACACCTCTTTCTCCTTCCCTTTCTTTCTCTTCAGCCTCCCTCTGTGCCCCTTTATTCTGCCATTGCCTCATAACCCTGAGCCCCATCCCTGGACATGGCTGGCCTGCCCAAGGCTTTTGGGGCTCTAACCCAAGGCCAGCTCCTAGCATGGCTGTGATCCTACCTGAGGAGTTAGAGCCAGACCTCTGTGTGTGGCTGCCACGGTTTCTCTCAGTCACCTGGAACTAGAGCTCCTGAGTTTTCCTTCCACTCCCCTGTGTATGGGACATAAGCAGGCAGGGAAGGGGAGGGAGCCCTGGTTGCAACCCAGGAGGGGCTTGGAGCCATCTTTGGTCTCTTCTGTCTCCAACCTTAGTCACGATGGGCCCCCACCTTCCGCCTGGGCTCTGAGGGCGGAAAGTGTCTGTATTTCTCATCGCACACATTGACTGCATGCCTGCTGTGGACAAGGCTCCACGAGGAATGGGACTACCCTCAAGGAGTCTGCCTTCTTCCTTATAACCCAGCTCCGGTTGATGCACACAGTAGGTGCTCTGTGAATTTCACCTGGTCCATTTCTTCAACGCATCTTCATGGAGCAACTCTGTGTGCAGCTGCCCCTTGGCAGCTGAGCACTGATGAGCAAAAGCAGCCCAGGTTTTGGCCTGCAAGGAACTTGCCATCTGCTGGGGACAGTCATTCATCAGAGGACCAAATACGTAAATGTTTCCTTAAAAAACAAAACCAGGCCAGGCATGGTGGCTCATGCCTATAATCCCAGCACTTTGGGAGGCCGAGGTGGGCGGATCACCTGAGGTCAGGGGTTTGAAACCAGCCTGGCCAATGTGGCAAAACCCTGTCTCTACTAAAAATACAAAATTAGCTGGGCATGGTGGCGCATGCCTGTAATCCCAGCTACTTGGGAGGCTGAGGCAGGAGAATCACTTGAATCCAGGAGGCGGAGGTTGCGGTGAGCCAAGACCGTGCCACTGCACTCCAGCCTCGGCAACAAGAGCTAAACTGTCTCAAGAAAACAAAACAAAACGAAACAAAACAGAGGTGTGGAAGTTCTCTCCATCTCAGGGGTCTTGCGGGGAAGACTTTTGTGGGGGCACATTAGGGAGATAGAATAGAACAAGCCTGATAATATCCTTGGAGATGGTGAAGAAATTTCTAGTGAAGTCCTGGTTTGCACCTTCCAGAACTCTGCCAACTAACCACCTTCTCCACAGACCAGTATGGCCAGTAGCTGTCATTGCTGGGACCTCAGGGTGGCCAGCTATGGGCCCTGAGTCCTGGGAGCCTAATCACATGGATGGAGGCCCAGTGGGCTGGGAATGGGGTCACAGCTGCCTCACTGGCAAGGGCCTAGGCACAGCTGGCACAGACGTTGGAGGGCCCTTGGGCTAAGCAGGGACATCTGCCTGGCATTTCCCACATCCCAGCAGGACCCACCTCTTATGCACCTTTGTCTTGGCTTCTAGATAAGGCCTGAATGGGGATTCACATGTCTGACTGGGAAATCCTCTCTGAGTGGTTGCGTTAGAGCCCAGGTCTACCACAACCCCAGTGAATCCCAGCTCTGCCTCTTACTATGTGACACTGAGCATATTATCTAACCTCTCTGTACCTGCTTCATCAACTGCAAAATGGGTATAATAACACTTGTCTCAAAAAGACAATTGCCTATTCAGCAGAGTGATAGCTGCTGTGTTTGAAATGGCACCTGGGACATGTAAAATGATCGGTGAGCATCCACTCCCTCCCTCTGTGGCAATCAGCTGCTCTTTTTTTTTTTTTTTTTTTGAGATGAAGTCTCGCTCTATCACCCAGGCTGGAGTGATCTTGTCTCACTGCAACCTGCAACCTCTGCCTCCTGGGTTCAAATGATTCTGCTGCCTCAGTCCTCCTAGCTGGGACTACAGATGCAAGCTACCACGCCTGGATAATTTTTGTAGTTTTAATAGAGATAGAATTTCACCATGTTGGCCAGGCTGGTCTTGAACTCCTGACCTCAAATGATCCACCCACCTCAGCTTCCCAGAGTGTTGGGATTACAGGCATGAGCCACCATGCCCAGCCTCAGCTGCTGTTTTTGAACTTCTGGAAGACAGGCTTCTGTTTAGATTTAGTGTAGCTCACACTGCTGGTGGTCCCTTCCTCCAGGATGGCAGAGGCCCCCAGTTTGTTCTGGTCTTTACTCCTCCCCTACCTTGCTCAGAGGTAAATCCTGACTGATCTAAGTCAATCACGGGGACCCATTCTGCTTGCCAGGGATTGGCCTAAACTGGGTGACATGTGCCTGAGGGAGGTCAGCTGAAGGGTGCAAGAAGGTTTCTGGGAAGAGTTTTTGGGGCTCTTAAAATGACACACAGTAAGAAATATCTTTTCCCTGCTTTTGGACATTGTTGTTTTGGGTTGGGATACCTGGAGCTGCAGCAGCCATTCTGTGACTATGAGGAAAGCTGCCTGAAGATGAAGCTGACCGGCAGAGGAAGACAGAGCCAAGAGAGAGAAACAAACTTCATCTCTGACACCATTGCTGAGACACTAACTGCCTTCAGAGGAGTCCTGCTTTGGAACTTCTTGTGATATGAAATAATACATTTTCCTTGTTCGTTAGCCCACTTGAGGCTGTTACTTGTAGCCAAAGGCCTCCTAACTATCTGTATCCTCCTCACCCATCATGTCTAGTGTAGGGTAGTTGGATTAAATGTGGAGACTGACTTACAAGGTGAGTTGCTTTTACTTAAGGATGGATGAGTGTTAGGATTTCTTTTTCTTTTCTTTTCTCTTTTTTTGAGACAGAAATTTCTTTCTTTTTTTTTTTTTTGAGGCAGAGTCTTGCTCTGTCTCCCAGGCTGGAGTGCAGTGGTGCAATCTCGGCTCACTGCAAGCTCCGCGCCCCAGGTTCACACCATTCCCCTGCCTCAGCCTCCCAAGTAGCTGGGACTACAGGCACCCACCACCACGCCCAGCTGATTTTTTTTTATTTTTAGTAGAGACGGGGTTTCACCATGTTAGCCAGGATGGTCTCGATCCGCTGACCTCATGATCCGCCGACCTCATGATCCGCCCACCTCGGCCTATCCCAAAGTGCTGGAATTACAGGTATGAGCCACCGGGCCTGGCCAACAGAAATTTCTTTTCTTTTCTCTTTTCCTTTCTCTCTGTCTCTCTCTTTTTTTCCTTTGGATTTCTTTTTCTTTTCTCTTTTTTTGAGACAGCGTCTCACTCTGTCACTCAGACTGGAGTGCAGCAGCACAATTTTGGCTCAGTGCGACCTCCATCTCCCAGGATCTAATGATCCTCTCACCTCAGCTTCCCAAGGAGCTGGGACTACAGGCATACACCACCACAACAAGCTAATTTTTTAAAATTTTTGGTAGAGATGGGGTTCCATCATGTTGCCCAGCCAGGGTGGTCTTGAACTCCTGAGCTCAAGCGATCCATCCACCTCAGCCTCCCACAGTGCTGGGATTACAGGCATGAGTCACCACGCCCTGCCAGGGCTTCTTTTTCTTGATTTGAGGGTTTGTCTAGGTGGGGGTGAGGTTGCAACTGGAGCCTGGAGCTGGGAGCCTCATTCTGAGATGACTTGTGGGGAGAAAGGAAACAACAAAAGGGAGGGTGTAGGGTTGAGGTGAGGTTTAAGATGCATCCAGAATGTAGTTCTGCCCAGGTCGGGCACGGTGGCTCATGCCTGTATTTCCAGCACTTTGGGAGGCCAAGGCAGGCAGATTGCTTTGAGCTCAGGAGTTTGAGACCAGACTGGGCAACTTGGTGAAACCCTATCTCTACAAAAAAAAAAAAAAGAATTGCCAGGTGTTGGTGGCTCGTGCCTGTAGTCCCAGCTACTCAGGAGGCTGAGGCTGGAGAATCGCTTGAGCCCAAGAGGCAGAGGTTGCAGTGAGCCACTGCACTCCAACCTGTGTGACAGAGTGAGACCCTGTCTCAAAAACAAAAACAAAACAAACAAACAGAAAGAATGTAGTTCTGCCCAGTGCTGCCTTTGCATTTTCCTAAAGAGGCTGCAACTTGACTGCTGATGGGTTTGAGGTTCATGAAAATGTTTTGGAATTAGTGGTGAAGGTTGCACAACTTTTTCAATATACTGGAAGCTACTGAATTGTGCACTTTAAAATGGTGATTTTTTTATGGTGTGCAAATTATATTTCAATTTTTTTTTTTAGACAGAGTTTCACTCTTGTCACCCAGGCTGGAGTGCAATGGAGCAATCTTGGCTCACTGCAACCTCAGCCTCCCAGATTCAAGTGATTCTCCTGCCTCAGCCTCCCCAGTAGCTGGGACTACAGGCATGTGTCACTATGCCTGGCTCATTTTTTTGTATTTTTAGTAGAGAAAGGGTTTCACCATGTTGGCCAGGCTGGTCTCGAACTCCTGACCTCAGGTGATCTACCCGCCTCAGCCTCCCAAAGTGCTGGGATTACTGTGTAAGGCACCACGCCTGGCCTCAATTTTTTAAAAAGAGAAAAAGCAGCAGCCCAGCCACCTGCCTCCTACAGTCTCCCCTCTGCCCTTCATTCTCAGGTGTCTAGGAGCCATTCTCAGGCTCCCTGAGTGTGTTTCGGGGATGGAGGGGCACAGCCCCACCAGCCATGCCACACAGGAGCACTTCCTAAAGTCTCTGCTGGGAGGGGCTGGTGGAAGCCTTGCCTGGGGACACTGGGACTCACTCTTTCACCTGAGGGGATGGTTATCTCCTAAGGCCTGGTCCTCACTGGCCAAATAGCCTCAGGTTGGGATGGGAGTAGGGGGTGGGGGCAAAGTGATGCTGTGGTGGGGTGGGGGGAGCATGAGTTCTGTGATCAGAAAGAACAAGTTCACATCCTGGCTCCCTGCTGCTGAGCTGTGACTTTGGGCAAGTTATCTAGATCTCTCTGTGGCCGTTTCTTATCTGGCAAATGGGTATACTAATTCCACCCTTGGCAGGGTTAAATGGCATAGTTTACCCAAAAAGCTCAGGGCATCTAGTAGATAACACAGGCTGACTTCCTAAGACCTGTTATTATCATGAGACCAAACATAATGGCAGAATCCTAACCAGGCTGTCTTAGTGATTGAGGACTGTTGGTGACGAGATGTTCCCAGCTCTCTTGCTTTTCTCAGACTGCCCAAAAGCCTTCCTCCCCTCATCCTCATCACCCACCCCTACCTTTGCCTACCATAGCCTCCCCACCCCCACACCCAGCCTTTTGCTATGCACATCAGCAGGTGTGGTAATGTGGGAAATCATATTTCCTTTCTTTTTTTTGAGATGAGGTCTCGCTCTGTCGCCTGGGCTACAGTTCAATGGCACAAACACGGCTTACTGCAGCCTCGACCTCCCGGGCTCAAGCAATCCTCCCACTTCAGCCTCCTGAGTGGCTGAGACCACAGACATGCACCACCGCACCTGCCTAACTTTTTATTATTTTTAGAGATGGTGTCTTCTTCCTACACTGCCCAGGCTGATCTCCAACTCTTGGGCTCAGGAGATCCTCCCCTCTCAAAGGGCTGGGATTACAGGCATGAGCCACCACACCTGGCCAGAAATCATATTTCTGAATCCCAAATCAGAGTACATGGCATAACCAAAATATTTATTCTTTTACTTTATTTTCTTTTTTCTCCAGAATTTAAGAAAATCTGAAATGAAAATCTGAAATGTAGTTTGGTCAAAGGTTGGACTTTTGGGAGCATTTTGATGGCTAGTGGTGACACTTCTCATGGCTAGAGAGGGCCACGGGTGTTCTAGAAGGTGAGGCATGGGTTAAACCACTTTGAATCACACATGGAGAAAGCTCATTTATTCACACCCCCTGTTCCATTCTCCTTCACTCCTTCTGAGTATCCTCAAAGAAAAAGTCTGGTTGGTCCTAATACGACTTCAGCACCTCTCCAACACTTGCTAAGATCCTTTTCTAATAAAGAGAGAAAGTCACACATTCAGAGCCTTTGCAGGGCCATAGTGTCTGGTTAGAATGAAACCTCATTGTTGAAAATGAGTAAATCTAAAATCTTCTTTTCAGTTGACGTTATTAAGAACAATGCAAATCAATGTAAAGAAAAGTGTTCAAAAAATAGCAGAACAGGTATGCATGCAGCTATAGAGTGGGGGTAGCATGGAAATGCCTGGAGTCTGGAAAACACCGGAACATGGGACAACAGAGCTGAGGGCTTGCAGTCAGGGTGCGCTGTAAGTGCCTGACCATACAGTCTGTGTGGTCAGGGCATCTTGGTTGGCCAGAGACCCTGTGGGTGAGCGAGGCTAGAGCTGGCAGAACCCCAGAATTGCACCCGGAAGCCACCTGGCTATGAGCTGAGATTACCCCCAGCATCTGCTCTGCCTCAAGGTACCAGATAGGTGATCTGGGGTGGCCCATCCAGCCTTAAGAGTGGGTTGGATGACAGAGGAGGCCAGCACTAGGCCCCTGTGACTCGGATACTCACGTTGGAGGGAGAGGTGGAGGACGAAGCGTAACTGTCTTCCAGTTGTCCAGAAAGGCTGGGCAAGGTCCTGGGTCACCTTCTCTGTTCTAGGCCCATCAGAGGCTTTCTTCAGGGTCTAGGAGAAGAGGGGGAGGGCCCCAGAGTGGCGGGGTCAAGTTCAGACACCCCTGAGCACTGCTCTGGAGGCAGGCAGGTCAGGCCCAAAAGGTGCGTGGGCCTCAGGGAGCCACTTGTTCCCCTCCGGGTCCCCTCCAGTGAAGAGCCACAGAGGAGGGGACTGGGAAACCAGGGTTCCAGCTTCAGCTTTCTCCTGACTGGCTGTGTGTCCCCGGACAAGGCACTCACCCCCTCTGGGTCTCAGTGTCCCTGCAGGTTGAAACTGCCAAATGAAGAGTTCTTTGGGTCCTGTATGCATTGAGTGAATGCTCTGCTTCCCCGTGATCCCTGAGGCCAACACCCTTTGTGTTCCTGTGCCCTTTCAGGGCAGACCAGGACACTGTGCCAGAGCTGGCTGCAGGCCTCTGGCTAGAGCTACCCCAGCCTTCAGCAGAGGCTTGTCCTCCTAGGTGAAGGGTTGTCCATGCCCAGCCTCGTGAGGCCCGCGTGGTTTTGGGCAGTGCCCAGTGGCACTATTGGCAGGCTCCAGGCACTAAAGGAAGAGACCGAGACCCTGAAAGGTGGGGGAGGAAGACAGAGAAGGAAGAGGTGCCTGCAGAGGGGGTGCTGGTGGCTGCCCCTCACAAACGTGCCAAAGGTTGCCAACTTGAGTTTAAGCCTTGGTTCCAGAACACAAAGCCTCCTCTCTGGGGGCCTTGACCCCTCGGAGCCCCCACCCCGGGCCGGCTGAGCTGCCCGGAGGGAACTAGCCCCAGAAGGGCCTGGTTGTTGGCTGCGAAGTGGCTGGGAGGGAAGTTTTAATGATACACAACACAAGACACAGGGGGGAAAAGAGAGAGGGGGGTGGTGGAGGAGAGAAGGGAGGTTGGGGGGAGAAAGAAAGACCTCCTGCCAGGCCTGTTGCCAGGAAACGGCCAGGCAGCCAGAATCAGCCCTGCTCTTTTCACAGTTGGCTTTAAGCACCGAGAGAAAGCCCGGGCCATAAAGGGGGACATGTGTTGCTGGGTGTGTAAGGCTAGCCTCTGCAGTTAGGGGAGCCCCTGCCCCCGCCCCTGCCGCTGCACCGAGAGCCCCTTGAGCCCCCAGCCCTGCCTCCACGCCTGGGGATTATGGATGAACGATTGAGCTGCCGAGCAATGGAAAAGGCAGGGGTGGCCCTGGCCTTCCAATGTCGCAGCCACTTTGGGGGTGAAACTCACCAGTTGGGTCCCCAGGAAGCTGGCAGGGGCTGGCAGGGCAGGGAGATCTGGGATTCCAACATGGCACGTCCACAGAAAAGTATTCCTATTGGCTCTGCGTGGTCCATCCAGGTTAGGGGGGTGAGGTGTCTGGACTTCTAGGAATCCTCAACAGGGCACTCAGAAGGGAGCTGACAAGTCCCAGAAACCTGCATTCTGGCTCCTGGTTCTTGTCACGGATGCCATGGTGGGAACAGGCCCCTTTAGGCTGTGCCTTGGCACTTGGGGACTGTCCCTGCAGCGCAGTGACTGCTGTGTCCCTGAAGAGTCCACCACACAGCCAGGAAAGAGCAAAAAGAGGGGGAGGGTTGTTGACAAAACGAGCTCATGGCCCTGGCTGCCAATCCAGAGTGATGTCAGCTGAGGAGTGACATGGTGCTCTCAGCACAGAGGACGTCAGCAAACCGGGAAGCAGCATGTGCGTGGAAGCTGGGCCTGAGCCCTGACGCTTCAGCTGAGCTCCCTGGGTGATGGCTCCTTCCACAAGTTCTAACGTCCCACTGAAAGCAAGCTGCAATTTCTGTTGCTTCTTGTATCAATTGCATGAAAGGACGGGCAGTTTCTTTTGATCCTCTGGCATGCCAAGGCCTGAATGCCAGTCCTGGGAGCCTTACCAGCCCTCTAAGAAGAATCAGAAGGTGAGTGTTAGGGAGGAAGGGACAGCCAACCCACCCCGACTCCCCATCTGGTCACCTCACTGCCTGACTTCTCTCTGAGCTTTCCGAGACACTGCTGGAGGCCGACCTGAGCTCAAACTCAAACCCCAGTCTCCTGCTCAGTGTGGTGGGCAGCCCTGCTTCCCTGGCTCATGGAGTGAGTGAGGGTGTGTGTGAGTCAGTTCTAACAAAATCAAGAAATCACTGTATCTTCCAAGAAAGCTTTGACTCAGTGCATGTGTGCACTGAGCTGTTTCCCACGTGAGTGAGCGTCCTGGAAAACAGGCCTGCCCGGGGAAGAAGTGAGCCAGTCTGCCTGCTAGAAACTGCTGGGGGCTCCTGATCGGGAGGCTTGCTTTTCCTTCAACTTCCTTCGCCTCTTTTTCTGGCTGGAGTGTGTGGTTCTGCTAGTTCTGGAGTCTTTCCTGTCCCCATTCTGGACCATGTCCCATCCCAGGTATCAAGAATGGCTCATACCTGTAATCCCAGCATCTTGGGAGTCTGAGGCAGGAGGATCACTTGAGGCCAAGAGTTTGAGACCAACCTGGGCAACATAGTGAGACCCTGTCTCTGCAAAAATTTAAAACTAAGTCAGGTGTGGTGGCATGTGTTTGCAGTCTCAGCTACTCGGGAGGCTGAGGGGAGAGGATTGCTTGAGCCCAGGCATTTGAGGTTGCAGTGAGCTAGGATGGCACCACTACACTCCAGCCTGGTCGATGGAGTGAGACCCTGTTTCAAAAAATAAAAAAAGAAAATGTCTTACTTCCAGAGGGGCTGAATCTCCATGAGGTGGTAACCAAAACGACGGATTTGCCAACTCTCAGGGGGAAGTGGTGTCCTGGGCAGTGGCTGGAGAAGCAGGTGGTGCCTGGGTCTGATCGCAGGAGGGAGGCCTTCTGGGTTCTGCCTCTGGGAGAGGGCAGGCTGCTGGGGAGGGCGCGCATTAGGAGATGGAGAGTTAGGCCACCAAGGAGCCCACTAGGGCACCTGGCAAGTTCTGCTAGGCCTGCCGAGGCATGGCTGGGCTTTACAACAGGGGGTACGGAGCTCCTTGAGTGGAAAGCTCCTCTCGCTGGCTTGCCCCTGATTTCATCTCAAGAACGGTCAACTCTAGCAAGCAAATATACCTCCTGGGCTGTAGGTAGGGGCTCAGCCCTGTCCCTGAGGCTGGGCACAGGCTTGGTCCTTCTCGCCTGCCTCCTCCCCTTCCCTGTCCTCTGTCACACCCCTCCCCCATGCAGAGGAGCCAGTTTTAACCTGGAAGGTTCCCTCTGCCCTCTCACAACTCAGCACCCCTGTTATTCCTTCAGAACCCCTGGCCAGCTCCTCAAGGGCTTCCCCCACGCTAATATACTCTTAGAGTCTGTGGCTTCTGTTTCTCTAGCTTGTTCAGGGAAGAGTCTCTGGAGGCCCACCTTACCCCCAGAAGCATTCCAAAAAATGGCCATTGAGCTCACCTGTCAGTGTTCCTCCCCCAGGCAGCATCAAACTCCCTAGATTGGCCCTCAGTCTCTCTTCTTCTTCTCCTTCTCCTTCTCCTTCTTCTTCTTTCTGGAGACAGGATCTCGCTCTGTTGTCCAGGCTGCAGCGCAGTAGTGCGATCAGTGCTCACTGTAGCCTCCATCTCCTGGGGTCAAGTGATCCTCCCACCTCAGCCTCCTGAGTAGCTGGCACTACAGGAACACACCACCACACCTGGCTAATTTTTTTTTATTTTTAGTAGACAGATGAGGTCTTGCCATGTTGTCCCTTATTCTTTTTTTTCTTTTTTGAGACAGAGTCTCACTCTGTTGCCTAGGTTTGAGTGCAGTGGCACAATCCCGGCTCACTGCAAGCTCCGCCTCCCGGGTTCACGCCATTCTCCTGCCTCAGCCTCCCGAGTAGCTGGGACTACAGGCACCCGCCACCACGCCCAGCTAATTTTTAATATTTTTATTAGAGACAGGGTTTCACCGTGTTAGCCAGGATGGTATCGATCTCCTGACCTCGTGATCCACCCACCTCGGCCTCTCAAAGTGCTGGGATTACAGGCATGAGCCACCACGCCCAGCCCAGTCTCCCTTATTCTTAATGAGGTGACCATGAGTTAATCTCTTAGGTCCACCCTCACCTCCTCCAGGAAGCCTCCCTGACTTACCCCTCCTCCTTTGTGCCTTCTAGCTTCTCATCAGTGTAGTCATTCCTGACCTACAGTGGCCCTCAGCAGTTGCCAAGATTTGTCCCCAAAGCTCAGGGCTGGTGGTCAGGTGGGTTAGGGATGAGTTGTTAAGGGTTGGGAGAATACATCTCCTAATGCAATGAGGAACAGATCCAGCTGGGTTGGAGGGAAGGGAGGAGGGCCTGCGCCCCCTCAGCCCCCTTCACTCCCCACCTCTGCACCCCTGCCTAGCTTCTTAACCAGGAAGTTGAGCTACCTTCACTAAAGAAGAGTGGAGACAGGAGACCCGGCCCTTCTCTCTGGGACAGGACTCTCCTGGTGGGGCTCCTCAGAGGTGAGATCCTGCCTCTGGGCCCCTGGGAGACCCTGGACCTTAAAGTTATTGTGCCCACACATTCTGGATGGGGCCTGCGAGGATGGTCAGGGTCATAGTGCCACCTGCTGGGGCTCCCAGGAACAGCAGCTGGAGAGACGCTGACGTGTGTGTGTGTGTGTGTGTGTGTGTGTGTGTGTGTGTGTCTCGGTTGTGGTGGTGGCGGGGCAATTAATAACACCTCACCACAGATCTTAAAATTCGCCTGATATTGAACCCTTACCCCCTTTCCAAGGAAGCAGCCAAAAGAGTGCGGAGGAAGTGATATTGGAATTC